>NC_000023.11:35144623-35294980 GCF_000001405.40 Homo sapiens | reverse complement strand
AATCTAAAGTAGTCAAACTCAGATGCAGAAAGTAAAATGGTGGTTGCTATGAGCTGGGGGAAGAGGGAAATGGGATGACATTAGTCAAAGGATTAAAAAATGTTAACTATGTAGAAGTGATAAATATGTTAATTAGCCCTAATATAGTGATCATTTCATAATATATATTAAAACATCAAATTGTACACCTTAAATATATATAATATATAGTCAAAAATTAAATTGTTCAAAAAAACAAAAAACATACCTTGAAATGTACCTCATACCTCTGACACCCAAGTCAACTCAAAAAAAATTTCTAGATAAATAGAAAATCTCCAGTGTAAAATAAGTATACCTGAGTCTATTCAGATATAAAAAATGATTGATTGAATGAGTCAGTAAGTAAATAAATAAAATGTGGGTGATAAATATTCCTTCCAGAAGAATTTCAAATATTTTATACATAGACCTCCCAGGTGGTGGAACTAAATTCTTCCCACTCCCCAAGAGAGTGGGCTGGACTTAGTGACTTGGTTCCAAAGAAAAGGATAACAGTGAGAAATCAAGTAAATTCACAGTGAAGATACCTGGCAAACACTTATTTAGTTAGATGATCAAGGTTGAAATAACCAGTGATAAGTCATACTGATAGCATGTACATACTAATATAATATCGTTAGAATGGAATTTCATCTCTGTGGTATTCATTTCAAACACCTATAACACAATATAATCATGAGTAAAACATCAGAAGAATAAAAATTGAAGGACAGACTACAAAATAATTGACTCAAAAGTGTGAAGGTTAAAAAAACAAGGAAAGTCTAAGAAGCTATCACAATTCAGAGGAGACCAAGGAGACATGAAGACCAAATGTAATGTGGTATCCTGTGTTGGATGATGGAACAGAAAAACAGTTCATTAGTTAAAAAAAAACTAGTAAAATCCAAATTAATTTTTAAATTAGAAACATGCCAGTGTTGGGTCTTTATTTTTGACATATATATGTCCACACACACACACACACACACACACTGTACACACAGAGATACAGATTTCTGGGCCTCTACCCAGAGTTTCTGAATAAGTAGGTCTAGGATGGAGCCTGAAACTGCTTGTATCTAACAAGTTTCCAGTTGATGTTGCTGCTGCTATTCCAAGGATCACACTTTGAGAACTACTGTCCTATTACGTTTTGAAGAAATGGTAGTCAGATAGGTGTGCTGGAAATGATAAGTTATGCTAATTCCCATTTAAGACCTTTATTTTCCCTGTGATTCAGGATTTGAGTCAATTCCTCCTCCAGTAATTTGAGGTCTCAGCTCTGAAAGAGTTGGGGGTCTCTTCTATGGTTGATGTCGACTTGTAGGGTTACCCCTTACAGGCTTTTGACATTCAGTAGAAACTTTCTGCAATCAGTGCCTCTATCCCAATGAATAAACTCAGTATTGGAGACATCAGCCCCGTCACAAAGTGGAAGCTGTTTTCCTTCATTAAAAAGGCTTATTGTTTTGTTTATTTTGGTGCTTTGTAGGTGTCACTTCTTATGTGTCTAACTTTTCTAATATTTTTAAGCTTCTTTGGATCTGGAGCAGAGAATAAAGCAAATCGTTGTTCTTAGCTGAAATAGGATTTCCTTAGTTTCCTTCCAGGATCACCTTTAATTTTGCAGTTTTAGTTTCCAGTGCTTCCTCCGTTTTATTTATATCATTATTATTCTTCCTCCTCTCTCAGGTTTTCCTCCCACTGATGTCAATTCATTGGTAATGAGGCTGCCCTAATAATTGTCCTGATAGGGGCATTTCTCCTAAGGGTTCTCACCTGCCTTGTCTGGAAGTACACTCACCACACAGATTTTTGGCCTCCTGTCTCTGTATTCAAGGGGATTTATACAAGGAGCCAAGAAGTAATGGTTTGAGCTGATACTGAAGTTCACTCTGTTGCTGGAAGTGGTATTATACATCTGTCCTCTGTCTTACCTGCAAAGTAATTAAACTCAACAGAAACCCCTGGGTTTCCAGAGCTTTTGAGGTCCAAACTTTCCTGCCGTCTGTGTTCTCTGAGAATTATTGAGAGGCAGATTGTGGTTGGCAGACATTCTCTGTTCTCCAAACAGACATTTATCAATCAGAAAATTCAGTGATTTAAAAAATCTCCACTGAGCAAACATCACAGCTCATTTTGCAAGTTTGGAAGACAGTTTGTACTTCCAGGAACAAACTCAAAAATATTTTGGGAAATGTTTTTACAGGTCATCATGGAAAATCCCCCAGTAGACAAGTATACTGACTTCCTACTCACTGCCAGGTTATGGTCCAAAGCCAGGAGATAGATGGTTTTCAGCCTCCAAAAAAGAGAAGTTCAACTATTGGAGGCAAATGCTGGATAAATAAGCCTTATGATCCATATTAACTTGGTCATACTCACCTATTAACTTTTTCTTGGTAGATACATGAAAAAAGCCAAAAGGTTTGAAGTGAGTAAAGGTTAAGTAGGGTCCCAATCCTTACTTCCACATCATAATAAAAGTAAGCCTTAGATCAAATTCTAGTATACAACCATTTGTTAATTATCCATTCTCAAATGTCTATAAGGCACTCCATGCAACTTCAAAATGGCACATTGTAATTACATTTTTAAGAAGTATCCTATTTAATTATACCTCAGTTTTCTAGAGGTCACAGTTTCCAATAACTTATTAATGATGTTGAGCACTTGATTTCTATCCAGGAGTGGGATTGCTGGATTGTATAATAGTCCTATCTTTAATTTTTTTGTTTGAGGAACCTCCTTACTGTCTTCCATAGTTGCTGCATCAATTTGCCTTCCCACTGACAATGTACGGATGTTCCCTTTTCTCCACATCCTTGCCAACACTTGTTCTTTAATTTTTGATGAAAGTCCTCCTAACAGGTTTGAAAAAAAAAAAAACAAGTATCCTAGAGGATTTTGAAGAACACAAAGTGTTAAAATCATTGCCGCAAACTGTGCATATATCAGAGCTAATGCCTCCCTTGGCTACCATCCATGTTCAGGAAACCAGCAAAGAGCTGATGAAAAGACGACCAAGGATAGTAACATTTGAGGTAGATTGCATGTGTATTACACATGCTTTTCAGCTTTGTTTATTTTATAAAGCATAGAAATTATGTGTGGACATTATTGTTAAATATAGAGGCATGGACCACACCTTACCCTGCTGAATCTGCATACTTTCTGTGGGAGCGTCATTATATTTTTCAGTAGCTCTGTGGTTGATTCTAACACACAGCCATGTTTGTGAATCATTGATATTGAGCTAGTGACTTTTCATTTCTCATGTCTAAGTTCTTGAGGTTCCAGAAGTACAAAAATACTGTGTTTTTGTTTTTGTTCCCAGAGTTGCTATTAATTAGCAATGGGTTCTCAGTCAAGTAATTTAACATGTCAAAGCCTCAGTTTTCTCACAACAAAGTACTTTAAACATAAGCTAATAGCTTATGTTATTCCAAGTCCAGCCATTCAATTAGCCACAAGTTTTTGCTACAAGTGTAGCAAAAGATAATATTTTGATAATAACCAAGGTTTTTCTTTCCATCATTAAAAACAAAATCTGGGGCCCTCTACCCATTGGGTCAGTGGTTATTACTTGAGTCAAGGAAGGGCTAATTCACCTAAGAATAAAGAACTCAAGTGAGTTTCTGGGTAGATTTTTTTAAAGCTCATAGAACACGCAAAGATTGTGAAAGCCTAGCATTCCAATAAAATCAGCCTTGAAAGAGGCACACTTTGATTGTGTGCCATCTGCACCCAACTCAAAAGGTTTCTGACCCTGTCCTGACAAAGAACCCATGTATTTGTTTTAGGGAAAGCAAAATAATGAACAAAGATAATCAAGGAAGTTAAGTTGTGGATGAAATGTCCCAGGCCTATCCTACAGCTTGTTGTACGATAAAAAATCCAGAAATAATTTAGTGGAACCCAAACTGAAAGAAGAGTTAGTGAAAGACCCCTGGAGAAGTCACAAGGCCATTTTGTCACCTGAATTTTATAGTAATAAATTGTGAGTGCATGTACCTCAATGTGATAGTTGTGGGAGCATCCTAAAGTGGCCTACACCCTTCAGAAAGATATAGAAATGGCTAAAACTGGATGGGAGACTTGGAGACATCTCAGAATTCTAGGAAAATGAAGACACATTGATCCACAATAAACTGGGCACCACAGAATAATGGGCATATGGACATTGAGTCACAGAGGCAGTGGATAGATATCAAAAAAGATCAAATAAGATTATACATCTCAGCCAAAACCAGTTTTTGTTTGTTTCATTGTTAAGTTATGCATAAATTACATATATTCCCAAGTACTAGGTTATTTATAAATCTCCCTGAACCATAAAAAACCTCTAGGGCAAATAGAAAGAAAGGGAGAATGGGGGAATTCCTTCACTAAGAAAGTCTTGACTTAAAGAAGTAGAAGTTCAAACCAGAATTTACTAAATTTACCTTCAATTTCAAAGATTAAATTTTTGACCACTAAGTTCAAATAAAAGCTCAAGATCTAAATTCAAGTGCTAAATTTAGTTACAAAGATAATAAGGGGCATACTTTCTCTTTTGTGGTGGGTTACTACAAAGTAAATATTTCTCTATTTAGGACAATTTTGCTTTGCTGATCAAAGACAAATTACTTATTATTGAATGTCTCTACTCTTAATAAATATGGTAATTAAGTTTCTGTCGAGGATTTAGTACTCCAAAATATTGACTATCTTATGCAAAACAGCCCATGGTTAAAGGGGCAACAGATAATGCTCCCCAGCAACCAATGATATGTAACAGGCCAATTTGGTCTTGTGTAATCCTTAGTTTATTTTTGATAGACTATGCTGCTCTAAAGTTGGAGATGACTAAGCGTTGTTGCTTCCTCAAAAAACTTCTCTGTCAGGGTAAATTCAGTCTTAAATGCTACTACATGTGTAGACAGATACATCAAAAACTGATTATCAAGCAGGCAAAGAATGGTTTATACAACCCATTCTGTGTGTTCCATGAAGTCCAGCTTTCAGTCTGATTAGGTGAGCCAACTATCTCCTTTCATGAAAAGGTCACTCTAGACAGACCCAAAACCATTGCAAAGGCCGGAATCTGCAATCCTTATCATAGTTAAGACCACACGTCCTCTCAGATTAGTGGTTCTTGGTTACACATTGCAATCACCAAAGAAGTTTAAAAACCAGTGACACCTGGAATCCTTCCAAAGAATTCTGATTTAATTGTGCTGAGGTGTGTCTTTGACAATAGTAGTTTCTAAAAGCATTTCAAGTACTTCTAATGTGAGGACAACTTTAAGAATCATATTCTTAAATTAGTAGTGGGGCACATAACTATATAGAGATCAAGCATTGAGCTCCATTTTAAATGAAAAAGTCTATTGGCCTCTTTGTGCAGGGGTAAGCAAATCTCCTACACTAAATTCAACCAGTCCATAAATCTTAATCACTTTTCATTTCCCCCATGAGTCTATTAATAATAGTCATTATTCTAGTCAACATGCTACTATTACATAAATAAAATTCATTTGTGACATTTAATATGTTAGTTAGCAAAGTCTAGGTGGTTGATCGAGATACAACAAACAGAGGCAATTTAAGTAGCTGCCCCTTGAATGTAGTCTACTCATTGGAGCACCAGCTGACCATGCCTAGACTGTGCATAGTTCTTAAGTATGATATAATTTGAACCTAAGTTAGCTTGAACTAAATCTTTTAAGTAATGCACAATTAATATCATATATAGAATTATATATATTGTATATATTGCATATGTACTTAGAAGTATTTTAAACATATTATAGATATTATAACACCTCTACCCTTTGTCATCTTGTAGTGGATCCTGAGTGAAATTTTCACTTCTTCCATTGGAAAGGCAGGTTCTCAAATCCTATCATTAGGAGTTGACAGTTGCTTACCCAAGGAAACTCCACCACCTTCTAGCAATGGTTCCATCTTTCATCCCAAAAAAGAAAGATTAGTCATGGAATAGGTAGTGTTCAGTTTTAAATGACCTTGAGGATACAGCATAGAATGTCCTTTGCTTGGTAAATACAAGTAAAATGGTCTAATTCCAAAACAAATGTATGACTGTGCTCCTGTGTAAAGAGTCATAGTCCAGTCTCTTGCCATTAATTTTCTGGCTCTGAGAAAACACAGGTAAGAACAATTCACAGGCTCTCTCAGTGGTGAAGTGACTCTACTTGTGACGTCCCTTTGAACTCAAAAAACTTTCAAGCTTGCCTAACCTTCCATATTAATGCTAATGTTTTATTTCTTTATTTTTTATTTTTTAACTTTTGTTTTAAGTTCATAGGTACATGTGCAGGATGTGCAGGTTTGTAACATAGGTAAAAGTGTGTCATGAGGGTTTGTTGTATAGATTATTTCATCACCTGGGTATTAAGCCTAGTATGCATTAGTTATTTTTCCTGATCTTCTTCCCCCTCCCACACTCCACCCTCTGGTAGTCCCCGATGTGTGTAGCTCCCCACCCTGTATCCATGTGTTCTCATCATTTAACCCCCAATTATAAGTGAGAACATGTGGTATTTGGCTTTCTGTTCCTGCATGAGTTTGCTAAGGGTAACAGACTCTAGCTCCAAACATGTTCCTGCAAAGGACTTGATCTCATTATTTTCTATGGCTGCATAGTATTCCATGGTATATATGTACCACAATTTCTTTATCCAGTCTGTCATTGATAAGTATTTAGGTTGATTCCATGTCTTTGCTACTGTGAATCGTGCTGCAATGAACATATGCATGCATGTGTCTTTACAATAGAATTATTTATATTCCTTTGCATATGTACTCAATAAAGAGATTGTTGGGTTGAATGGTAATTCTTTCTGTCTTTGAGGAATTGCCACACTGTCTTCCAAAATGGTTGAACTAATTTACACTCCCACTAACAAAGCGTTCCTTCTTCTCCACAACCTTGCCAGCATCTGTTATTTTTTGACTTTTTAATAATAGCCATTCTGACTGGTATGAGATGGTATCTCGTTGTGGTTTTGATTTGCATTTCTCTATTGAACAGTGATGTTGAGCTTTTTTTCACGAGATTGTAGGCTTCACTTATGTCTTCTTTTATTTTTTATTTTTATTTTTGAGACGGAGTTTTGCTCTTGTTGCCCAGGCTGAAGTGCAATGGCGTGATCTCGGCTCACTGCAACCTCCGCCTCCCAGGTTCAAGTGATTTTCCTGCCTCAGCCTCCCAAGTAGTTGGGATTACAGGCATGTGTCACCATGCCTGGCTAATTTTGTATTTTTAGTAGAGACGGGGTTTCTCCATATTGGTCAGGCTGGTCTCGAACTCCCGACCTCAGGTGATCCGCCTGCCTCAGGCTCCCAAAGTGCTGGGATTACAGGCATGAGCCACCACGCCCAGCCATGTGTCTTCTTTTGAAAAGTGTCTGTTCATTTCCTTTGCCCACTTTTTAATAGCGTTAAATGGTGTTTGTTCCTAAGAGTTAATGGTGTTACTGGGGATAATGGTGTTTGTTTTTTCTTGTAAATTTGTTTTCTTTGTTTCTTTTTTGGAGGATATATATTTACTTAAATTCATAAGTAAATTTTATATATATTTATGGTTTATAACATGTTTTGATATATGTACACAGTGTAAAATGGCTAAATCAAGCCATTTAAATTATGCATTTCCTCACATACTTAGTTTTTGTGGTGAGAACACTCAAATTCTACTATTTTAGCAATTTTCAAATATACAATATATTGTTAGTAACTGTAGTCACCATTATGTGCAATAAATCTCCTAAACTTATTCCTCCTAACTGAAATTTTGTGTCCTTTTGCCAACAACTCCCCAATTCTCTCTCCTCCCCCTAGCCTTTGGTAATCAATCACTATTTCACTCTCTGTTTCTATGACTTTTGCTTTTTATACTCTTTTTATATTCTGTATATGAGATAATTTGGTATTGGACTTTTTCTTTGGTCTGGTTTATTTTACTTAACACAATGTCCTCCAGGTTCATTGATATTGTTGCTGTCAGTTGCAAATGACAGGACTTCTCTTCTAAAGCTGAATAGTATTCCATTTTGTATGTTGATATGGTTCAGTTTTCTGTCCCCACCCAAATCTCATCTTGAATTGTATTCCCATAATCCCCATGTGTCAAGGGAGGGGCCTGTTGGGAGGTAATTGAATCAAGGGGGTGGTTTGACCCCATGCTGTTCTCATCACAGTGAGTGAGTTCTCATGAGATCTGATGGTTTCATAAGAGGCTTCCCCCTTCGCTCAGCATTCACTCATTCTCCTGCCACACTGTGAAGAGGTGCCTTCTGCCATAACTGTAAGTTTTTTGAGGCCTTTGAAGCCATGTGGAACTGTGAGTCAATTAAAACTCTTTCCTTTATTAATTACCCACTCTCAGGTATTTCTTCTTAGCAGTGTGAGAACAGACTAATAGAGTAAACTGGTACTGCAGAGAGTGGGGTGCTGCTATAAAGTTACCTGAAAATTTAGAAGCAACTTTGGAACTGGGCAACAGGGAGAGGTTGGAGCAGTTTGAAGGGTTCAGAAGAAGACCGGAAAATGTGGGAAAGTTTGGAACTTCTTAGAAACTTGGAGGGCTCAGAAGACAGGAAGATGTGGAAAGGTTTGGAACTTCCTAGAGACTTGTTGAATGGGTTTGACTAAAATGCTGATAGTGATATGGATAATGAAGTCCAGGCTGAGGTGGTCTCAGATGGAGATGAGAAACTTCTTGGGAACTGGAGTAAAGGTGACTCTTGCTATGCTTTAGCAAAGAGACTGGCAGCATTTCGCCCGTGCCCTAGAGATCAGTGGAAATTTTAACTTGAGAGAGATGATTTAGGGTATCTGGAAGAAGAAATTTCTAAGCAGCAAATCATCCAAGAGGAAGCAGAGCATAAAAGATTGGAAAATTTGCAGACTGACAACGTGATAGAAAACAAAAAACCCATTTTCTGGGGTGAAATTCAAGCCGGATCCAGATGCAAATCTGAAAGACAAAGGGAAAAATGTCTCCGGGACGTGTCAGAGACTTTCATGTCAGCCTCTCCCATCACAGGCCTGAAAACCTAGGAGGAAAATATGGTTTTGTGTGCTGGGCCCTGGGCCTCTCTGCTGTGTGCAGCCTAGGGACTTGGGCTCTAGCCATGGCTAAAAGGGGCCGAGGTACAACTCAGGCCGTGGCTCCAGAGAGTACAAGCCCCATGCCTTGGCAGCTTCCATGTGGTGTTGAGCCTGCAGATACACAGAAGTCAAGAACTGAGATATGGAAACTCTGCCTAGATTACAGAGGATGTATGGGAATGCCTGGATTTTGAGGCAGAAGTTTGCTGCAGGGTCAGGGCCCTCATGGAGAACCTTTTCTAGAGCAGTGTGGAAGAGAAATGTGGGGTTGGAGTCCTGACACAGTCCTCACTGGGGCATTGCCTCGTGGAACTGTGACAAGAGGACCACTGTCCCGCAGACCCCGGAATGGTAGATCCATTGACAGCTTCCACTGTGCACCTGGGAAAGCCGGAGACTCTCAACACCAACCTGTAGAAGCAGCCAGGAGTGGGGCTATATCCTGCAAAGCCGCAGGGGTGGAGCTGCACAAAGCCATGGGTGCCCACCTATTGTAGCAGCCTAACCCAGATGTGAGATATGAAGTCAAAGGAGCTCATTTTGGAGCTTTAAGATTTGGCTGCCCTGCTGAATTTTGGACTTGCGCGGGGCCTGTAGCTGCTTTGTTTTGGCCAATTTCTCCCACTTGAAATGGGTGTATTTACCCAATGCCTGTATCCTCATTGTATCTTGGAAGGAACTAACTTGTGTTTGATTTTACTGGCCCATAGGTGGAAGAGACTTGCCTTGTCTTGGATGAGACTTTGGACTTGGACTTTTGAGTTAATGCTGGAATGTGTTAAGACTTTGGGGAACTGTTGGAAGGGCATGATTGTGTTTTGAATTGTGAGGACATGAGATTTCAGAGGGGCCATGGGTGGAATGAATATGGTTTAGTTTTGTGTTCCCACTGAAATCTCATCTTGAATTGTAATCCCATAATCCCCACATGTTGTGGAAGGAACCTGGTGTGAGATAATTGAATCATGGGGGTGGTTGCCTTCCATGCTGTTCTCGTGATAGTGAGTGAGTTCTCATGAGATCTGATGGTTTCATAAGGGGCTTCTCCCTTCACTCAGCATTCACTCATTCTCTCTCCTGCCCCACTGTGAACAGGTGCCTTCCATCATGATTGTAAGTTTCCTGAGGCCTCACAAGCCATGTGGAACTGTGAGTCAATTAAACCTCTTTCCTTTATAAATTACCAAGTCTCAGGTAGTTCTTCATAGCACCATGAGAACAGACTAATACATATATATATATATATATATAATATATGTAATATATATAACATTTTCTTTATTCATCTATTGATGGATATTTAGTATTATTCCATATCGTTGCCATTGTGAATAGCACTGTAATAAACATGGGTGTACAGATATCTCCTTGACATACTGATTTTTTATCTTTGGATATATGCCCAGGAAGGGGATTATTTGATTATTTTTTGAGGTACCTACATACAGTTTTACATAATGGCTGTACTAATTTATATTCATATAACAGTGTATTATGGTTCCCTTTTCATATTTCATATTCATATTCATATATTCATATAACAGTGTACTATGGTTCCCTTTTCTCCACATCCTTGCCAACACTTGTTATCTATTGTCTTTTCGATAATAGCCATTTTCAATAGCCATCCTGTTGTGGTTTTAATTTGCATTTCTCTGATAATTAGTGATGCTGAGTACTTTCTTCATATACCTGTTGTCCATTTTTATGTATTCTTGTGATAAATGTCTCATTTTATAAAATCACATTGTTCTCTTACTATTATTTGAGTTCCTCACATATTTTAGATATTAACTACTTATCAGATGATGGTTTGAAAATATTTTTTCCCATTTAGTAGGTTGTGTCTTCACTTTGTTGATTGTTGGCTTTGAAGAAGCTTTTAAAAGTGTAATGTAATCTCACTTGTATACTTTTTCTTTTCTAGCCTTTGCTTTTCGGGTCATATGAAAAAAATCTTTGCCTAGACCAATGCCATAGAGTTCGTCCCTATGTTTCTGTCTAGTAGTTTTGAAATTTCATGGATTATATTTAAGTATTTATTTTGAATTTTTTTGATATATGGTGTGAGATGAAGTTCTTATTTCATTTTTCTGCTTGTAAATATCTAGTTTTCACAGCACCATCTATTGAAGAGACTGTCATTTCACTATTGTGTGTTGTTGGCATTTTTGCTAAAATCCATTGACTATAAATATTTGAATATATTTCTGGGCTCACTATTCTCTTCCAATTGTGTCAGTTTTTATGCCAGTAGCTCCAAGCTGTATTGATTACTATAGCTTTGTAGTAGATTTTTAAACCAGGTAGTCTGATGACCCTGGCTTTATTATTTTTGCTCAAGGTTGATTTTGGCCATATTTTTAATGAGTATAGTTTATTACATATTTTTGAAAAGAAAACAGAAAGTAGAATGCTTGTGGTATCATGATAGCTTTAGTTGTCATGTCTATGCTTTACCAGCCCCTAGAAACTTAACTTTTTAGTGTAGATATGGAGTTCTGCTTTTTTTCCAGAAAGCACAGGTTTTCAGATAATACCTTTAAACCTGATTTGGAACTCACTTTTCTTTTTTTTCCAGAAGAAGTTAAATACTTACAAGAGAAATTAAGAATCCACATAGAGGCTTTTATGATAACTTTTTTCGTAGCTTTCCATTGGTGTTTTTCTTCTGCTAACAGTCCAGTGGATGTAATGTGTTCTGTAATACACTCAATCTCATTAAAATCCAATGTTTGCAAATCAGTAACGAATTCTGGGAGTCAATCTAATTTCTCTCATAAGATATGTGGCTTGGACTCAAGTTGATGACTTCACTTCCCATCCAAGATTGGTATTTGTCCTTGAGCCAGGTATGTGCCTCACCAAAATTCTTTCAGTTAACATCATGGAAAACGGCAGAGTAAGGTACAAAATATTTGTTTCCTCCACTGAAACAACAAGCTGAAAAGGAGTGATAGAATCAAATTCTCCATAACTCTGAAAAATCTAATCCAAAATTTTAAATAACACAGAATTGCTATATGAATAAAAGGAGAGTTGAAATTTGATAAGACAGTGTTGTAGCACTTTTGATCATCTCCTTACCATCTTCCATTTTTCAGTAGGTCAGTAGCCCAGTAGATACCTCCCTGCATTCTTGGTGCATTTTGCTGGTGCCAAGGGCCTGATATGGACTTTAAAATAACACATTCACATCATGAATATACATGTTGACCTTTTTTGGTGGTTCCCTGATAGACTAGCAGTGAGGCTGACCTTTGTTTTGCATCCCTCTATTGGAATGAAGCAGTTTTTGGACAGTGATGGCAGTTATCAAAATATGTAAAGATATAATTTATACCTTCTGAGGCAAGTGATGGCAGTGTGGGCAAGTAGCAGGCAGACCAAATAATCTATGAAGGTGGAGGCTAAGAAGGAAACGTACTGGGGAAATAAAGTTTCTGAAAGGCCACTGTGAACATGCATGCTCAGGATCAAATACATGCTTATTAATGACCTAAAAGGATGTAGGCTTTCACCTCTGCCAGATTTGTGCTTCAAATAAGCAGGATATGAGTGCTAAGGTAGATTTTTAGGCAACTTTGAGTAACAACTAAGAAGGGCATCAGCTCAGAGCTAAGCTGCAAAAACTAGGAGAGTGTTATTTTTATCATCGGCTTCAGGCATTTAAGGAAATCACTGTCAGGTAACCACTGCCCATTGAGATATCAAACAGAAACATCAATGACCACACATAACATGGAAGAGAGGCTTTACAAATACAATTTGAAAAATCACTAAAGAAAAAGACAACAGCCCTCAAGAATCAACAACAGCAAACCCAGGAGAAAGGGAAAGATAGTATATCCAGAGTTATCACATCGTAATATTCTATATGCCAGTTTGCAACAAAAATTAAAAGGCACACAAATAAACCCAGAAAAGTATGGCCCATTCACAGGAATAAAATAAATTGACAGAAACTGTTCCTGGGAAAGCCTAGCTACTTGACTTTCTAGACAACAACTTTAAATCAACAGTCTTAAATATGTTCAGTGAAGTAAACCATTTGTGAATAACTAAAGTGTACCAAAAGAAAAAAACACACAATGTCTGAACAAAATGAGAATATGAACAAAGAGGTAGAAATTATAAAAAGGAACTAGATCAAAATCCCGGAACTGAAAAGTACAAATATATGAAATGAAAAAAAAATTACTAGAGAGATTCAATAGCATATTTAATCAGGCAGAAGAAAGAATCAGTGATTTTGAAGACAGGGTGATTAAAATTATTTTAGGAACAAAAAGAATAAAAGAAGAAAATTGAATGGTCCAGGCATACCAATATACATAATAGGGAAGTCTCACAAGGAGAAGAGAAACAAAAAAGGATAGAAATAATGCTTAAATGAATTATGACCTGAACATCTTAAATTTGTTAAACTATATGTATCTACACATTCAATGTACCTCAAGTAGGAAAAAACCAAAGAGATCTACAATGACACACATTATAAACACATTCTCAAAAGCCAGAGACAAGGAGAGTCTTGAAAACAGCCAGAGAGAAACGACTAGTTCTGTACAAGATAATCTCAGTAAGATTATCAATCATTTTCTCACAGGAAATTGTGAAGGCCAGAAGAGAGTGGGATGACATATGTAAAGTTTTGAAAGAAAAAAAAAATACGTCAACCAATAATTCTATCTCCAGCAAAACTATCCTTCAAAGATAAAAAAAATTAAACATTCCTAGATAATTAAAATTTAAGAGAATTTCTTGCTAATAGATCTATCCTTACAATAAGTGTTAAAGGAAGACCTTCAGGATGAAGTGAAAGGACAATAGACAATAACTTGAAACTACAAGAAGAAATAAACACTCCAGGGAAGATAACTACATGAGTAAACATAGAAGCATAAGTAGCAACATAAAACGTACATAAATTGGACTGTATCAAAATTTAAAATGTTTATGCATCAAGAACATCATCAAGAAACTGAAAAGACAACCTACATAGTGGTAGAGAGTATTTGCAAACTTTATATCTGATAAGTCTAGGATTCAGAATATGTAAGAAACCTTACATCTCAATAACAAAAAATCAAACAACCCAATTTTAAAATAGGCAAAAATTTTAGTAGATATGCATTCAAAGAAAGTACACAAGTAGCCAACAAGTACATGAAAAGATGTTCAACATCAGCATAATTAGTCTTTAGGTAAATGCAAATTAAACCACAATGAGATACCACTTCATGCCCACTATGATGGCTATACTCAACAAAACAGAAAATAAGTGTTGGCATGTATGTGAAGAAAGTGGAATTCTTGTGTATTGCTGGTGGAAATGTAAAGTGGTTCAGCTACTGTGGAAAACAGTTTGGCAGTTCTTCAAAAAGTTAAACATAGAATTCCAGTGTGTTCCAAAAATTCCACTCTGAAGTATTTACCCAAGATAAATAAAAAATGTATTTAAATAAATATATGTACTTACATGTCTGTACCAGCACTATACACAATAGCAAAATGCCAGAGATGTCCAAACAGATGAAGAAACATTTGTACATACAATAAAATATTATTTATCTTTTAAAAAATGAGGTATTGATGCGTGCTACAATGTGGATGAACCTCAAAACATTATGCTAAGTGAAATAAGCCAGACAGAAAAGTTCACACTTTGTATGATTCAGTTTATATGAAACATACAAACTAAATAAATACACTGAAAAGAGACTGGTAGTTACTAGAAGCAGTGGGGAGAAAAGAATTGTAAGCAAATGCTGAGTGGCTACAGGATTTTTTGGGGTGTGATTAAAATATTTTGGAATTAGATTCAGGTGGTAGTTGCACAAAATTTTGAATGTATCACATTGCACTAAATTGCTCACTTTAAAATGGTTAACCTTATGTTGTGTGACTCACACTTCAACAATAAATTTTTGAAAGGGAATTAAAATTCTTTGGAATATAAGATCAGCTCCCATTTAGGGTACAATAAATTTCACAGTCATAAAATTTTGTGTTCAAAGATGTAGCTTAAGCTATCAATTAAAGTATCAAACTTTGCTATCTATTTTCCTATTTGCAGAACAAAGAAAACATAAACTGGAAACTTAATGGTAAAAGCAGCAATTTCTGGATTTTTCTCATTATTATTTAGGGAGAAAATTCTAAATTTTCATCTTCATCTGTTTTCCTCTTGGCTACAAATGCTGTGGATGGTGTGGTGTTTTAAAATGTCACATTAGGTTTTGTGTTTGGTTTATAGCATTTTCTGCCCACTATGAGATACCTCTGACTTTTTCATCAATTCCATCTGTTTATGTCTGCTGGCTGTCCTGACCTTTGATGTCAGATCTACCAGGGACATATGCCATCCTCCTCATCTAAAACATTGAGTCCCTTCAAATTTATTGTGCCCTCCTCAGACTACCTCCACATTCTTTCCAGGGACACTAGACATCTCCAGATGTTCAAAACCTGCCTTTTTCTAAGAGCCAATTGTTTTACAAATAAATATGATTAATGAATACAAACATAAAGTTCTAATGTTTGACAGCACAGTAGGGTGATTACAGTTAACAGTCATATCTTACATATTTTAAAATATCTATGAGAAGATTTAAAATGTTCTCAACACAGAGAATAAATGGTTGAGATGATGAATATGATTGTATATAGGGTATATTTCCTATATATATGTATGGGGTATATGTGATATTTTGATGCATACATACAGTGTGTAATGATCAAATCAGGATATTTAGGATATTAGGAACGTAATAATTGGATATATGTATAGGGTACATGTGATATTTTGGGCTTTACTTTCCTGTTCCTCTTTATTATTACATATTGAATTTTTTAAAAAAGAAATTTAGTGATGCAAGAGACTTAGAAAAGCCCTAGAATATCTTTGCAATTACACCTGCATTATTTCTACTCTAAGGCTGCCGATATTGGCATGTTGCACTCTTAGAGGTCCACATGGAAAGTGGGGAATAAGTTATGTCTGTGATTCTTTCTCTTCATATATTGGGAATTCTTTGGCTCTACCTAGGAGCATCCGTTTCTTCTGAACCTACATCAACACTTCTCTTTATTTCCTTTTCCAGTTCTTTATGTTCTTCCAATTAGCTGTATTCATAAAGGTAGAGACAATTAGCTTCTTTATCATCATGGATTATTTCAAACTTGTTGTTCAGTTTCTTAAGTTCCAGAAGCTCTGCTTAACTCAAGTAACATTATTTAGATAAACCCTTCCAATAAAAAGCAACTTTATATTGGATACAACTAATAAAACATTAAAAGCATCAAAGAGCAGAAAATATATGGGAAAACTACAGGTCAAGGTTGTACTACAAAGTGAGAATCTGGGAAGCTTAATAGAAAACAGAGCAACTCTTCTCACCTAGCTCCTACCACCAACAACCATGAGAGACTTTGTATTTCTTTTATTTAGGGGATTAAATTCTTTTGACAACTAGTCATTATGGAAAGAAGGAAGGAAGGATATAGAAGTGAGGACCCAGAATACCTGAAGAGGTGAATCTAGAATCAAAAAGGGATACAACCTTAGTGTTAGAGAAAAACAGAACAAAATTCATCCATAATACATGCAGTAATGTCATCTGGGTGGTGACCATAATGGAAGAAAAAAAGAAAGAAAAATAGTCATTTATATATGCCTATGAAGCAGACATAATATAGATCTGCTAAGTAAAAAAACCATTACAGTAGCCAGTTCATAAAGATGATTCATTTCATGAGGTAGATAAAACAATAGCGTAGTCTCAAAATCCACACACACACACACACACACACACACACACACACACACACAGAGGCAATATATGTAAAATTATAATGAGAAATGGATAAACCCCACAGTCACTGTGGGAGACTTTAGCATGCTCTTCTTTTGGTAATAATTACACACAAAATAAAATCAACCAGGGTATAGCAGATCTGAACACCATTAACAAACACGTCTTAATGGTAATATGTATGTGTGTGCATAAGTATACACAAATCATTTCAACCGATAACAGCACAGTATACATTTTTTATTAACACATAAAATGTTTACAAATATTGACCATAAGTTGAACTACCAAATTTTTATAGTAACAAAAATAAAATGATGACCGTAATAGACAGAGTAAGCTTTACTCTGACAGGGGAGAGGCAAGAGGCTGTGAATGGTAGGAAAATGGCGTGGTTACATAGGTATTTACTTTTCAACTTTCTATTAAACTATGCATTTATATTTTATGGATTTTCTATATTGTTTTACATTTCACAATAAAGTTGATTAAAAAATAAGGACAATCAATACTTCAATTGCAAGATGCTTAATACACTTTATCACATCACAATTTGTATACTGATGTTTTTCTGCATTTAATTCTATATATAAACTCCTAGACATTGTAAATGTTTTAACAGAATATGCATCTATATATGTGTTTACTATTTTTTGCTTAATTCTTTCTTGTATCTAGGCTCTTCCATGAGGAATGTCTCTTTCTCTGGGGAGGCATACCTGTAATTTGAATGTTATCACAAATTATAGATATTTACATTTTGACCATTTCTTAAGCTGTACTTTAGCTCATAATAAAAATAATTTAATAAATTAGTATGCTTTAAAAAAACACTACAATATCCAAATAAACACACATAATTGTTTAAGTCAGTGTGATCTATTTTAGGTTTCAAAGGTTCAGGCTCGTAACTTTTAGGTTCAGGTCTGGACACTGCCATTTTAGTAGCTGTTCACTCTACAGAAGTTTGTTAACCAATATAAATTTCAAATAATCTTTAAAAAGGAGAAAATAGTCACATTTTTGCCAATTTCACAGAACTATTGAGTGGTGCAAATTAAAATATGTGAATAAGCTTTATAAAACAGTTAAGTAACATATAATTTTAAACTACTCTTATTTATGTAGAGATGGACAAGAAAACAATGAAAATTGATTTTGGTAAACTGTAGGTGAGGCCATATTTAAGTATGCGGTGAAACATTGTGACATAATGGAAATAGCAGGATTTTTTGAGTCAGATACAGTTAATTGCAATAAGTTTCTGCTATACTTCTTATTACTATAATCTCCTACAAGTTAACTTTTCTAACTCATTAATACTTTATTCGTTGTTAAGATCAAATAAGATGCTATGTCTCACTGAGCCAGGTGGGAGGGAGTCCTCGAAGAGTCTTGCGGAAGTCCCTATTTCCCCCTTTTTTTTTCCCTTTTCACTCAATTAAATGCTGCTTTACTCACCATTCAAACCACCTGCGAGACTAAATTTTCATGGCCATGGGACAGACAAGGACTCCATCTTTAACTGAACTAAGGAAAAGTCCTGCAACATTTTTGGCGTGCAATGTGGGAGCTTGAAAAGCGGTGAGTGAGATGCAAACCAAAAATTCTTTTTCCCTCTCGCTTCTGAGCCTTTTCATTCTCATGGCCTTTTTCTTCCTTTTTTGGGAGGAACCAGTGAGCAGCAGGTCCCCACCGCTCCCCGCTCCCTGCTGGGCCTGGGACGCATGGTCCAAGGGTCCTGCACAGCCAGCTGGCTGGGTCCCAGCCAGGTACCAGTGCAGCCTTCCCCTTCCCCAGCCAAGAGATTCAGCTCCATTGGACAGTAATTACAGTAATTAAACTTTTCTCCCTGGTGGAGGAACCACTTGCATTAGAATAAGAGGTTCTTCCCCAAACAATTTTCAACTGTTTCTTTTCTTTCCCATTCTCTACCTCATCAGCAAGTTAACTTTTAAAGTTATTTTTTTTTCTTTTAGAAGATGTTTTACTAGGCCAGGCTTCCCCAACTATTACTGTTAATATTTTCTGCAAAGTTTTATTTGTGAAATCAAGCCTCCATCTGGTTTTACATCCTGAGGGCATGGCTTGTAAGTCTGGTGGCAGGCTTTGTTTAGCAATCTTACCTTAGGGAATAAGCTTCTTTCTGGTTTGATATCTGCATGTTTTCCTACCCCTGCCTCTTAAAGGGCCCCACCCAGTGACTGGATTTGCTTCTGCCTGTCTATGTATGTACTGTGTGTGATGTCTGTAAAAAGAGCTCTGATTAATTTGGCCTAAAGAAAGACAAACACTTGGATCTAACATTTTTTAAAGGGAAGTTTAATGTTGTGGTACCTTTCAGTCCACATGACTTTAATCTTTAAGAAGTAAAAGCAACCCTAAAGACCATTGGTAAAATGCAGGTCAGGTGCAAGGTTTGCTGTTTCACCTTAAAGTTAAAAATTGATATGAGTTAATTGAAACTACTAGAAATAGATTTACATTCAAGGTGTGTAAGAACAGTAAAATGTATTTTTTAGTACAAGGTTATAAGAAGGCATGGAAATGTAAACTTTTGCCTAGGGTTAAAGGATTGTTTTGAGTTAAATTAGAAAAAAGCTGAAGGTTCAATGAAGTGGTGGAAGAATTGTGGAAATTAATCTTGCAGAAGAGGTTCTCTCTGTGAACATATTGACTCAATTCAAAAAAGGGTATTATGTGTTTTTTCCGCAAATTGAGCATTGAAATAAAAGCATAACAATGTTCTCCTAAGGTGCTAATCTGCTCTTTGGCAAAATTTTTAGAGGGTTGTACAAGGTTTTTGCTTCTTTGAAGTTTCTGAGTCATCATTTTGGCAAAATAAATAACTTACGGTAATCTGGAATTCTATTTCATAATGTCAAGTGTTTTAAACCTTGAACATTTAACAGCCTTTTTCAAATCAAACTTCAGTTTCAAAATTGTCTTCCCTGACACCTGGCTTTTGAATACTTCAGAGGGCCCCTGAAGTGTCCAGAAAACAGAGGTAAACAGGATTATTTGACATGTTTAAGTACATGGGATTGCCAAAATGATGCTCAATCTTCTTTAGGTTATATCTTGGTGAATAATGCTAATATATGTTCCAAAATTATATGGAATTTCTAAAATTCTAATGTCTGAGTATATGCTATCCATCATAATTAACATAGTTTTTATGTTAAGTTACTGTAAACCACAGAGATAACCAAACTTCTTTGTCAATTGTGTTTCTAAGCGTAACTACCCTGAACATTTTGTTATTCACAGGCAATTGTCTTGTTTGAATCCTTTTCAAAAGATGGTTTAAAATAAGCTACAGAACTTTTAACAGGTACTCTCAAATACAGGCCTCTGATAACTTTGTAAATTGTAACATCGGAATAAAGGAAAACGTATAGGGCTCATGAAGAGCTGAAATGTTCACAAATATCAAGCAAAACAAGAGTTAATGGACTGAACTCAGAAAGCTGAAGCAAACTTTTTGACTTTTTGTTGGAATATTGCTAATCCATGTTTTGTTTTCATAGTCAAGGAAACTTATTTTGAACTATTTAAGTCCTTTAATAATTGAGTAAGGCATACTTCTATGAACAAAATTTGAAGCATGTTTGTTTCTCTCTGCCTGGTTTCTCTAGAATTTGGAAACTCTCTGTGAGTATTCTTAACTTATGACAATATACTTGTTTGCATCAGTGTGATAAGAATCTATAGGAGTCAAGCTTGACTTACAGAGCTAATAGAAGCCCATTGGGAAAACTGGCCTCATACTCTTACCTACACAGTCCCTGGACAGGGTTCCTGACCTGTGGTCAGTAAAGGATGTCACTTTCTAACAGGTCTAGGAGCTCCAAACTTATCTTGGAACCTTAAGAGGACAGGATCACCCAACTCACAGGTATTTGAGTATACAAACCCATGGTTGGGCTTGGCTTTAAAAGATCTTATATGAGATTCCTTGTGGAACAGAATTCCATCAAAACCAATCCAAAAGGCCTATGTAGAAATAATTATTCTTGCTGCACTTCAGGCAAATAATCGGGCCAAGTATAAGACTAAAGTCTATTTAACAACTCAGTCTTATGATCATTTGTTTGTTAACAAAAATGACGACTGTAAAGAGAGAAATTATGTTCCAAAACTTATCATACATGTGTCACTAAATTCTAAACTCATTCATTGTTTTTTAAGTTTTCACCTATGTTTTAGACTAATGCTGCTTGTTCCTGTGGACCAACCAGCAATCTTTGGCTGCAGCTTAGAAAGAACAAGAGGGATGGGTAACGTAAAAATCTGGATCAGTATTCTAGCTCTGAGCAATTATCCAGCAAATCCTGCCAGGTGATTGGAATAAATAGGATGCCCATCACCTGGAGGTTTCCTTTTGGGAAAGTTAAACAAAGGGAGCTAACCAAAGCCAAGCACCATGCACCAAAAACCTAGCAAGCATAATGAAAGCTACCAGTTATCTGGGTATGTCACAATTCATAATTTTCTCTCCCTTGTTGAAGAAGGACTCACAGTTTCCACAGTTTCACCTTAGCATTTGGCTTATGACAAGGAGTCCATGCAAGCTCTGCCCCCACCGAGAGGCATTTTTTTGCCCCAGACTCAATTTCAAGCTTCAGGTCAAAGCCCTAGGAAAGAAAACTGGATCTGAGGGATCCAGATGCAAATGACAACAGAAGTTAAAAGACACAGCGCAGGCGAGTGTGGCTGATTCCTGCCAATTAAGCCAACCCCAAGCTTCCTGTTTCATGGATAAAGGCCATGTTAATATCCATGGCATAAATGAGGTCTAGAGAACTCTAAGGCTACTGACAGCAGGTGGGAAAGAGACATAGGTAAGAGCGGGTAATTCCTGTTCTGTAGGCCTCCCTGCTTCCAGGGTGCAAGTCACTTTGACACCCATGGCAGCACCTGCCAAGGTTGCCAGAACTCGTGGATGCAAGGATGGAAAATGAAAATAGGACACTCTTCTCTTTCTCCCTCATTTATCCCCAGGTATCTGCTAGGAAAAGAAGGGAACCAGGGATGCCTGCTCCCTTCTTTCTAGACAGGTAGCCACTCATCTTCAGTCTGTACCCCTTTAGAATGCATCCTGAAACCCTGGGACTCCTTTGAAAAAAACACCTTCTTTTTATTCCTTTCTCCTCCTCTGTCCTCTCTTCACTGATAGGTAATTGTGTCTCTGTACTATGGGACACTCTTCTCAGTTGCGTCCTCCAAGCTGGAAAGAGTTAATTTCCCAAACCTTAAACCGGTTGGCTTAGGATTGGGCTCAGGGGAAGGGAACACAGAAGCCCAAAAAACATGCCGGCAAAAGGGTGAAATGTTTTACTAGTTGAGCTTTTGGCTTCCCTCTGCCTGTGCAAACTGGTAAAAGCCCTTGGAATTTTTGAGCCGTCCTTATCCCTCCCCTTGTTCACATCCCCTTGAGACGGGAACATGCATTCCCTGGGGATCTTGTAAGAAAGGAGATTCTGATTTAGTAAGTATGAAGTGAATTGGGTCTGAAAGAAATGAGGACTAGTATTTCTAATGCTTTTTTAAACAACAACAAAAAAAGCAAACAGTTTTCCTCACTCTTCTATATTTATTTTCTTTGTTCTTCCAATGGGAGATTCCTGAAAAATGGATTAGGATTAAATTTTGTCAGATAAACAGTGCCAAAAGGGCCTGGTTGTCTGTTGTGAAACCATATAAAATATAGAGCATGTCTCTAGTTCTAGGACAGTGCAGGCTTCATTGAGAACCATAGCAGGGAAAAGGACTTTCCAGTGCTCATCCCCTTGTAGAACATCAATTTGAACAACTACCCATATATGAAATACCTTCAAAAGAACCAAGTAATCCAGATGTGAGATTATAGCACTTGGTTGTAGTACAGAAATAAAACAAAGACACCTGGAAGAGGGTAGGAAAAAACAGTTTCACATTACCTGAATCACCCCTTCTCCCAGTACAGGCAGCACATTACTGGAAGAGATACCCTCCATGTGGGGGAAGGAGAGTGAAGTGAGTTCCTAATCTTGCCCTGGACCACAGCAGTGAGCCTGCTTATTGAAATCTGGCATTAGGCCAGCTCCCAATGCCCAAGGCTTCAAGCTAGTACCACAGACCAAGCCTTCAGACTCGCCTCAGTACCAGATTAGCCACAGTGAGCCCCAACTTCAGGCCCATGCCAAGCCAGGCCAGCTCCCTCAGCCTCAATCTCCAGGCTTGCCCTATTTCCAGACCAGCCTTGGTAGCCCAATGCTTCAAACTGTCCCCATGAACTCAGAATCCAAGCCCACCCTTCCCTCGAGACTGGTGACAGCACCTGTCTGGGCCCTGCAGCCTCAACTCCAGGTTGGTCTCCATGGTCCTAGGCACCAGACAAGAACCCTTAATACAGGCTTTAGGCCTTCCCAGTGCTGGGTCAGCCCCTGCCACCCCAAATTCCAGGCTGGCCTCTGCAGTCCCATGCTCATTGAACAAAATGTCAGAGAAAAGGTAAATTCTTTATTTTATTTTATTTTATTTTATTATTATTATACTTTAAGTTTTAGGGTACATGTGCACAATGTGCAGGTTAGTTACATATGTATACATGTGCCATGCTGGTGTGCTGCACCCATTAACTCGTCATTTAGCATTAGGTATATCTCCTAATGCTATCCCTCCCCCCTCCCCCCAACCCCACAACAGTCCCCAGAGTGTGATGTTCCCCTTCCTGTGTCCATGGGTTCTCATTGTTCAGTTCCCACTTATGAGTGAGAACATGCGGTGTTTGGTTTTTTGTCCTTGCGATAGTTTACTGAGAATGATGATTTCCAATTTCATCCATGTCCCTACAAAGGACATGAACTCATCATTTTTTATGGCTGCATAGTATTCCATGGTGTATATGTGCCACATTTTCTTAATCCAGTCTATTATTGTTGGACATTTGGGTTGGTTCCAAGTCTTTGCTATTGTGAATAATGCCGCAATAAACATACGTGTGCATGTGTCCTTATAGCAGCATGGTTTATAGTCCTTTGGGTATATACCCAGTAATGGGATGGCTGGGTCAAATGGCATTTCTAGTTCTAGATCCCTGAGGAGTCACCACACTGACTTCCACAATGGTTGAACTAGTTTACAGTCCCACCAACAGTGTAAAAGTGCTCCTATTTCTCCACATCCTCTCCAGCACCTGTTGTTTCCTGACTTTTTAATGATTGCCATTCTAACTGGTGTGAGATGGTATCTCATTATGGTTTTGATTTGCATTTCTCTGATGGCCAGTGATGGTGAGCATTTTTTCATGTGTTTTTTGACTGCATAAATGTCTTCTTTTGAGAAGTGTCTGTTCATGTCCTTCACCCACTTTTTGATGGGGTTGTTTGTTTTTATCTTGTAAATTTGTTTGAGTTCATTGTAGATTCTGGATATCAGCCCTTTGTCAGATGAGTAGGTTGCGAAAATTTTCTCCCATTTTGTAGGTTGCCTGTTCACTCTGATGGTAGTTTCTTTTGCTGTGCAGAAGCTCTTTAGTTTAATTAGATCCCATTTGTCAATTTTGGCTTTTGTTGCCATTGCTTTTGGTGTTTTGGACATGAAGTCCTTGCCCATGCCTATGTCCTGAATGGTAAATTCTTGCTCTCTCTTCTGCAGCCAATACCTGACTTTTCTCTTGCCCTTAGATGTCTGAATTCCAGGTTCTTCAGCTTTTGAAATCAGAGACTGGCACCAGCAGCCCCTTGGGCTCTCAGGCTTTGGGCCATAGACTTAGAGTTACATCACTGGCTTCTTTGGTTATGAGAAATTTGGACTTGGACTGAGCCACACTACCAGCTTCCCTGATTCTTCAGCTTGCAGATGTCCTATTATGGGACTTCTGAAACCCTGAATCATGTATGACAATTCCCCTAATAAATCTCCTCTGATATGTCTATTTATCTATCTATCTATCTATCTATCTATCTATCTATCTATCTATCTATCATCTATCTATCCATCTATCTATCCATTTCTTATTGTTTCTGTCTCTCTGGAGAACCACAATACAAGTATTTTTATGACTACAATGATATGACACTATAAATCACTAAAAGGAGGAAAAATTAAAATTTTACAAGTATTTGGAAATTAAATAACATACTCCTGAACAACAAATTGCTCAAAAACGAAATCCAAAGGGAAACAAAAACATTTCTTAAGACAAATGAAAATGGAAACACAACTTACAGAACTTATTAGATGCAGCAAAATCAGTCCCGAGAAGTTTATAGCAATGAATACTAACATTATGAAAAAAGAGGGCAGTGGCCAAGATACACACAAACTAGAAAACCTAGAAGAAGTGGAGACATTCCTGGACAGATACACCCTCCCAGGACTGACCCAGGAGGAAACTGATTCCCTTAACAGACCAATGATAAGTTCTGAAATTCAATCAGTAATAAGTAGCCTGCCAACCACACAAACACACACACACGCACACATGCACACACACACAAGACCTGATGGATTCACAGCTGAATACTACCAGATGTATGAAAAAAGAGCTGGTACCATTCTTACAGAAACTATCCCAAAAATTGAAGAAGAGGGACTCCTCCCCAACTCATTCTATGTGGCCAGCATTATCTCGATACCAAAACCTAGCAGAGACACAGCCAAAAACGAAAACTTCAGGCCAATATTCTTTTTTAAAATTATTATTATTTTATTTTTCCATAAGTTATTGGGGTACAGGTGGTGTTTGGTTACATGAGTAAGTTCTTTAGTGGTTATTTGTGAGATCTTGGTGCACCCATCACCCGAGTAGTATACACTGCACCATATATGTTGTCTTTTATCCCTCACCCCCTCCCACTCTTCTCCCCAAGTCCCCAAAGTCCACTGTAACATTCATTCTGGGTTTTTTTGTTGTTGTTGTTGTTTTTTTGAAACGGAGTCTCACTCTGTTACCCAGGCTGGAGTGCCGTGGCACGATCTCAGCTCACTGCAATCTCCACCTCCCAGGTTCAAGTGATTCTCCTGCCTCAGTCTCCCGAGTAGCTGGGATTACAGGCATACACCACCATACCCAGCAAATTTTTGTATTTTCGGTAGAGACGGGGTTTCACCATATTGGTCAGGCTGGTCTCGAACTCCTGCCCTCAAATGATCGGCCCGCCTCGGACTCCCAAAGAGCTGGGATTACAGGTGTGAGCCACCGTGCCCGGCCCACTGTATCATTCTTATGCCTTTGCGTCCTTACAGCTTAGCTCCCACATATCAGTGAGAACACACAATGTTTGGTTTTCCATTCCTGAGTTACTTCACTTAGGAATAATAGTCTCCAATCTCATCCAGATCATTGCAAATGCCATCACATTTGGATTGGTTCCAGGCCAATATTCTTGAAAATCATCGATGCAAAACTCCTCAACAAAATACCTGCACCCTGAATTCAGCAGCATATTAAAAAGTCAATTCACCCTGATCAAGTAGGCTTCATCCCTGGGATGCAAAGTTGGTTCAACATATACCAATCAATAAATGTGTTTCATCACAGAAACAGAACTAAAGACAACCCCGCCCACAAAAAAAAATTACCTGGGTGTGGTGACACATGTCTGTAATCCCAGCTATTCAGGAGGCTGAGGCTTGAGAATTGCTTAAACCTGGGAGGCAGAGGTTGAAGTGACCCAAGAATACACCACTGCACTCCAGCCTGGGTGACAGAGTGAGACTCTGTCTCCAATAAATAAATAAATAAATAAATAAATAAATAAATAAATAAAGACAATATTCATATGATTATCTCAGTATATGCAGAAAAGGCTTTTGATAAAATTCAACATCCCTTCATGTTAAAACCTCTCAATAAACTAGGTATTGAAGAAACATACCTCAAAATAATGATAGCCATCTATGACAAACCCACAGTCAACAAAACAACCTCATTTTTCAACCCATGGAACTAGAAAAAGAGTAAACTAATTCCGAAGTTTGCAGAAGAAACAAGAATAAGCATAAGAGCAGAAATAAATGAAGTAGAGGCTAGAAAAATAATAGAAAAGACCCATGAACTAGAGCTAGTTATTTGTAACAGTAAACCAAATTGAAAAACTTATAGCTAGAGTAACAAAAAGGAGAGAAGACTCAAACAAATGAAATTATTAATAAAAAAGGAGACATTTTCATTGATACCACAGAAATACAAAAGATTATAAGAGATTACTGTGAACAGTTACATGAGGTAAAAGTGGATAACCAAGAAGAAATAAATTCCTAGAAACTTACAACCTAGTAAAATTAAGTCATAAAGAAATAGAAAATCTGAACAGAATATTAACAATTATGGAGAATAAATTAGTAATAAAACACTTTCAAACAAAGAAAAGCCCAAGATCTGGTAGCTTCAGTGGTTAATTCTATCAAACATATGAGAAAACTTTAATGCCAATTCATCTAAAACCCTTCCAAAAAATTGAAGAGGAGAGAACACTTGCAAAATTATTTTACAATGCCAGCATTATACTGATACCAAAGTCAGACAATGAAACTACAGGGAAAAATTACAGTTCAATGTCCCTGATGAACATAGATGAAAATATTCTCAACAAAACACTAGCAAACTGAATTCAACAGCACATTAAAAGCATCACACACTATAATCAAGTGGGATTTACCCCTGAGATGCAAGGATGGTTCGAAATACAAAAATCAATTATTATGATACACCAGCTTAAGAGAATAAAAGATAGAAAACACAAAACCATCTCAGTTGATGCAGAAAAAGTATTAGACTAAATTTAATATTCTTTTATAATAAAAACTCATAACAAATTAGGTATAGATGGACAGTACCTCCACATAATAAAGGCCATATGTGACAAGCCCACAGCTACCATTATAGTGAAGTGTGAAAAATGAAAGCTTTTTCTCTAAGATCAGGAACAAGACGAAGTTGCCCTCTCTCACCACTTCTGTTCCATGTAGTACTGGAAGTCGTAGCCAGAGCAATTAATCAAAAGAAAGAAATAAAAGGCATCTAAATTGGAAAGAAATAAGTTAAATTGTCCACACTTACATATGACATGATTTTATACGTAGAAACCCTTAAAGACTCCTCCAAAACCTATTAGAACTAATAAATTCAGTAGTCACATGATACAAAATCCACCGTCAAAAATTAGTAGCATTTCTATGTACTAACAACAAACTATCTGAAAAAGAAATCTAGAAAGCAATCTCATTAACAATAGCTGCAAAAATTGTTAGGAATAAATTTAACCAAGAAGGTGAAAGATCTGTGCATCATAAACTATAAAACATTAAAAGAAATTGAAGAAGGCACAAATAATTAGAAAGATATTTCATACGTTTTCATTAACTATGGGATATAATTGAGGCACAGTAAAACAAAAGCCTTGTTTGGTTACTGCTTCTGTGACTAGCAAATTTCCAGAGAATTTGGACAAGGCCTTGTTCAGAGATGTGGATAAAGCAACAGGAATTGAGACGTGGGGAGATCTCTCAACAGTTGTTAGGCACCAGCCATAAAGCTGGGTTTCTAGCTAGAATACCAGTATCTAGTAAGACATCTAGCGAGATTATATTACATGTCCCAGATTTTAGGAAGGACATCAGTCTTTATAGGCAATTATTACAGGAATGTAGGGATAGAGATTAAAAGAAAAGTTCAGGTTCCAGCAGGACAGGTAACTCAATTCTGAGCCCTGGTGTGGTAAACATTTTCACCTAAGAAAAGGCAAAATTATTCTTCTTTCATTATTTTATCAGCCTTACGGTGGTTGTCAAATGGTGAATATGTAATATGTAATGAAAGCACTAACTTTACTAGCTATAGTCGACATTGGTTCTTTGCTTACCTTTCATTGTGTAAGAAATAATATATGTTTTGTTTAGAAATTAGTGTATTTGATTCAAAAATTTATTTTTTGTAAATAGGCTTGAAAGGATAAATTTAAAGCTTTCTGATAGAGAAGTAAATAGATATGTTGCATATTTAGCAAAGATAGGAATAGATAATAAGCTAAACATCAGAGTGCTAGTGTGTACTTTACAATTTCTATGAGTTAATCCAATTTTCTATAAAAAATACTCTAACATATAACATTTGCCATAAAAAGGCATAACAAGCTCCTTGTTGTAATTGTTGTCTTGAGGCTAAGGATTACAGTGCAGTGAAAATAAAAATAAAAATCTTAAAATGAAAACAAAATGTTACAGAAGGGTTTCTTTCATTTGCAACAAACTTGCCCAAAATCTACTATACAGTGACAGAATAAAATATGTATTTGTTGCATTATGGTAACTGCTCTGTAAATATTTTCCAACCTTCTCTATTATGTTTTCAGTAAAGATGAATGAAGAGCCCTGTATTCTGATATACTGAATTATCAAACGCATTTATGTCAAAAACAATGACCTTTCCTAAATGTTTGCCATTAAATGCTATCGAAACATTTTTCCTATTGATTTATTTGAATCAAAGTGAATCACAATATCTCGTACTTAAATATTTTCAATTCTGCCTTATATTCTAGAAACTGCACTTGGGTATTTTATAAGTACCACCTCATTTTATGTTCCCTAAACTTTATGAGAGAGGTATTTTCATTCTATTTTACAAACAAAAGTATTGCAGGTAGAAAGGACCTACTCAGTTAGCATGTGCCAGAGCAGCGATTGGAACCCAGACTGTTTTATCTCATCAAAGCTCTCCCTCAGAGATGCAGAGGGGAATGGTTCATGAAGCATATGATGGTAGAGACCAAAGCCCAATTTGTGAAAATGCATTCATACTCAGTGCTCCACAAAGTATGGTCTCAGTACACTTGTTGAATGGTGTAGCAATGTCAGCTATATGCATTTGACTGGATATAAGTCTAGTAGAATATGGGGTTATCTGGAGAATGTCTCATTTTATAGGTTAAACTTTTTATAGGTGAGTTGACTTAAAAACTGACCAATCCTTGGCAATGGAGACAATTTATCAACATCCTTTAATGATACTGCTCTTTTCAGCATGGTAATGAAGTCCCTTTACTTTAGAATGGATATGTCACTGACAAACTTTCTTGTATCATTTATGTACATTATGTGGCATTTTGATTGAATTTTAATTCAATATCAGAGTAACATTTATGTTAAAATGTAATACTTTTCACTTGATAAGTTAACTTCATTTGACTTATTTAAGCAGAAAGTTGATAATTTGGGGATAGCATTTGAATAATACTCTAATTTACATGGTCCCTATCTTTATGAGTTAATAGCTTACTGTCTGTATAGAAAACAAGGATTCTATCCACTGGAAAAACAAGAGGAATAAATGATATTTGAAGGCCCTTCTAAACCTCTGATTTTATCAATATATTTAAAGAAAAAATGAATTATATGGGAGTATATACAATAGATCAACTGAAACAACATGTGGCTCGGAGTCATGAAACTGGTATTCTAACTCCAGGATTTTTCAATAACTGAGGAATCTGGAGTAAGTTATAACCTCATTTGACCTCAGTTTCCTATATTCAATAATAGGAGACTGAAGTAAATCATTTTAAGATAACTTTTGGCTATAAAGTTCTACAACTTTAAAGCATTTGTATCTCATTGCATTCAGATGGTTTTGGATTGCTTTATTCCTGGATTTATGATTTTCAATTTCCATATCAGTAATGTTAAGGAAATATAGCAATCAATAACACTTTTCACATTTTTATGTACCTACACATCTGTTCTATGAATAGGGTTCTAGTCTATATTTATAGAAACATAAAAAGTAGGCAACCAATAGAATATAAAAGTGTATTTATACAAAAAAGACTCATAATGTGTGCAACCTGGGAGATTTGTAAAATAATTAGGTGTAGATATCAATAGTGTGGCAAAAAAAAAGCATCTGAAATGAATATGAATACTCCTTCCTTGTTCCTAGGAGACAATATCACATATGGCTGAGGGTATTCATCACTATTAGTACAGGTATGAAAAATGTTTAAATGTTTCAAATAATACCCAGCACAAATCACCTGACATTACAACAGAAAGAAAGCAATTTCAGATTTCTGACAAGTCTCACAAATCAGAGCACACGAATACATGCCAGTTTTCAAGATATTTCCCCAACATCTTACCGTCATGAGTCACTGGCATTTCCAGGGTCTCCTTTGATCACCCTGAGAGCAATCCAGTCTACCCTGACAGGAACAGCATGATGTGAACAACATTATGATGGTTAGCAGCACTGCCTGCTCTTTCAGGCTAAGTATAGCTTTCCTGGAACATGGTTTCAAAACGAACTTTTTATAAGTCTTACTTAACTCCACCAGCGACTAAATAAGATTAGACTTTGGCTATGAAATATATATTTAACAATAAAATTTTACAACTATATTAACTAAGTCAATGATTTTTGTTGTTGCTGTTGATGTTGTTGATTGGATTAGAGTCATTTCTCCTGGTTTCCTTCCAAATGGAATACCCTATCTTGTCTGTCTGACTACTTCCTCTTCATTATTCCATTCAAGATCAAATATTACCTCTTTCTGGAAGCCTCTCAAGTTCTGCCAGATAGGGTTAACCTCCTCTTTTTCTATCGTTCCATCATGTTGAATATAGCTTCTTTAGAGCACTCACCTGCTATGTTAGGGTCACTTGATTAGATATGTGCTTGTCACTGCTCAGAATTTGATCACAAAGTGATTCACCAAGGTGCATTCCTGGAAAGTGTCAAGGTATGAGGGAGTGATGAAAGCACCACTAAAATAAACTTTAACTGAACTGGTAAGTAATTCAGGTTTCCCAGAACCACTTGAACAAATGAAGGAATATAAACCAATATAGACTGCATCCTAGAGTGGTGAACAACAAAGAATGGATGGAAGGAATAAATGAAGGAAGAAAAGTGCAATGGAACGAAAAAGATGGAAGGGAGGAAAATAAGACAGGAAGCAAGGAAGGGAGGAAGGAAGAAAAGAAGGTGGGAAAAAAAGAAGGAAGAAAGGGAAGAAAGAAGCAAGGAAGGGAGGAAAGAAAACCAGAAGGAAAAAAGAAAAGAGAGAAATAATTTGTCAGATTGTAATTCATATCTATATCTATATCTACATCTATATCTATATCTATATCTATCTATATATATACCACATGTGATTTTATGGTATAGCTGCATGACATTTTACTATGACTGATATTGGTCAGCTAGTAGGTGATGAAATTCAACAGCTGCAACCACTGAAATTATGAAATCAAGTAATGCAAAATAAAGTCTTTTTTTTCTGAGAATGAGTGCTTTATTTTCTTCATTTAAATATAGTAATGGGTTTTTTAAGGTATCTAGTTGAGAAAACTGAAAAATAAAACTACAGAATAGAAAGAAAAATGGAGAACTAGATATTAGAGAGCTTATGGAAAACTAAGAAATTTATTTCTAAGTTGAAAATAAGGAGAAAAACATCTTAAGCATATTTGATCGAGATTTTGTAATTATATCTATGTAAGATAATTTTAACTTTAATGATAACAACTAATGTTTTTAGTTATTAGGTGTGTCATGAATAAAATATAATTCCAAATAAATAAACATATGCATATAATAATAAATCTCTCATTTTAAATACAAAAGTAGAATGAACATTTGTGGCCAAAAAAATCAGCTTTGTAATAAAATGACAGTAATATTTGGAGTCTAGAAGGGGCCCATTTTTCTCAATTCTGCTCTGCTCTTTCTAGAATGGAACATTTTTTTTTTGTCCTTAGGGTGCAGCAAACGTAAAGTAATTGTTAAATACATGTTTTTTAAGGGAGTTGATTGCTGTTGTCTTTCTCATTTCAAGGACTAAGCCAAGACTCATCACTGCATTATAATTGCTATTGGCATCATCATCAAATTCAAATTAATTAGCTCCAGTTTTCTATAGATAAATGATTGTGGCTTGTGATATAGCAGAATTTGAAGCACATTATGAAAGGAAATAATAATCTTAAAAATATTATATTAAAAATAATACATTGCATATTATACTAACATATATGATGGAAATAATGATATTAAAAATAATTCCCCTACTCTAGCCAACCTAAAAAGTGATATTTTCTTAAAAATTTTTTTTTGTACAGATGTAGGCATGCTTTCAGGCCTAGAAGCCTTGTTACCTATTCTTTTTGATGGGCATTCCTTTGCAGAAAATTTCTATATTCCATATATTCAGTGGACTATGGGATTGGTATGAGATACATATTATTATGACAACACATCTGAAGAGCAAGAAATAACAGTGTAGTTTTGCACTTTATCTATTCAGGACAGGTAAAATAGTTTTTGAAACTGAAAATGTTAATTCATATAAAAGAGATATATTTTCAAAGTAACTGTCATCAATCTTCCCCTGAGAATTTAGTTCTGGCCGGGTCAGGTGGCTCACGCCTGTAATCTCAGCATTTTGGGAGGCTGAGGCGGGCAGATCTCCTGAGGTCAGGAGTTTGAGACCAGCTTGGCCAACATGGTGAAACCCCATCTCTACTAAAAATACAGAAATTAGCCGGGCGTAGTGGCATGTGCCTGTAATCCCAGCTACTCGGGAGTCTGAGGCAGGAGAATAGCTTGAACCCGGGAGATGGAGGTTGCAGTGAGCTGAGATTGTGCCACTGCACTCCAGCCTGGGTGACAGGGCGAGATTATGTCTTGAAAAAAAAAATATATAGAATTTAGTCATGTTTCTTTGTCACATGGATCATTTTGCCATTCCACTTAGTAGCCTCAATGGAATCTTCCTCCTGCAATGACTTTTCAGTTAACTTTCACATTTTCTTTCTTCATGCTGTATCCTGGACATAATGAGACACGGATCATGTAACATTTTTATCAGTGTTTATAATATGTGCACTTTTCTGGCAAAGTTGATAATGAGTGTTTGGGAAGGTAACTTAATAACTTTTCTTATTAATAATGTCCCTCCAGGTTTCAATAATTTTTTATTGTATTATATCAATCTTTGTTGTGAATATTGAAATGCATATCAAGCAACTCTGCCTCATTTTCCTAAACCAGACTTCTCCCTTTCTGCAAACAAACTCCTATAGGTTGGCTTTTGTTACCAACTATTGCTGGCGTTAATGCTGACATTCATGACTATAATCATTGGTGATGTCTTCAAGATTTAATTTAAACAAAGGGTGGCAATACCAATATCCAGTGGGAATAAAGCATATATTAGAAGACAAGAGGGGGTTGTTTTTACCTGGATGGTAAAAATTAAGGTCACCACTTTCCAATAGAATAGTGTTGTGCATGATCTGTTTACGAAAAGGTAGTAACCTGTTTTATCACATCAGATTTCAGTGTTAGAATTTGTTTTCAGATTACAGCTAAGGCTTCATGGCAGCATTTCAGAATGCAGGTGTGGCTTCAATAATTCTCTCAAAGCTAGACCATCTAAACAAATTGCTCTGGCCTCTCAGATGGCAGGTTGTGATGTCGGGAATCTTAACAGCAAAGAAAATTTCAAACAAAGCTATTGTTACATTGCATCTAAACTAAGAACTAAAATAGAACCTGAAACACAACACACACAGGTCAAAAAGTCAGGGGACCACTTCTGCCCCTCTTGTTGCTTCTGATGGGTGTCATTTCTGAGGCTCTGGGGCCATTGAGGTGGCAATGGCATGGTTATGGGGTCTTGGTAGCATTTTAGTTGTTTCGCTCCTGTGACAGTGATTTAGCCTTTTCAGACTTCAAATTTGTCATCTGCAAGATATGACCTAAAAACCCTGCCTTTTTATGAGTATTGTGAAAAGTATATAAAGTATTTAAGCAAACACATTTCAGAAACAGTAAGATGTTATAGAATATAGTTTGTTACCAGCTATCCTTTAATTCCTCCACCTATTCAATATTTATTGAGCATCTCCCCTGTACCTTTGGATCTTCCCTTTTGTCTCTCAGGTAGCTGAAAATTCACCCTAACCTGCCTAGACATACCCACACCTGCCACTCTCCATCTCTGTGTCTTAACTTTCCCTGACTCATCCTTCAAGACTCTAGTTAAATGGTACATACATTTGCATTTCTTATCCAATGCGTGCCCCTCTCAACAGACAGTTGATTATTCCCTCTTTAGGCTGGTCCTCTACCAAGCGCATACTTAAAATTTTATGTTTTATTATAATTGCTTTGTGCCCTTCTTGTATTTGCAAAGTGTTTGCTGTCAAAAAGTGCAATATTTTTGTTTTGTATTGCCAATGCTGAGCAGAGGATGCTAGGAGACTGGGAATGTTAGACAAGGGAACAGTGCAGGAAGAGGCTGGTAGGTGTGGTCCAGATTACCTCAACTTCAATATATGTATTTCAAGGGTGGCACAGGAGGCCTAAACCTATGCTTTGTACATCACAGGATTCATGCCTGTCTAGTCACGTGGACCACCAGAGTCCTGTTTACAAGAGGGACTTAAGAATTTTCTTGAAGATAATGTTTCTAAAGGAATCCTTAATCAACCGTGTATGTTTAACCTTTATCTGTTAGTGGAGGAATAATTCTAAATCCAGTGTAGAATGATATTCAGATGTGTCTGCAGAGCAGCCCTTTATGAATTCATGTCTGAACTTGAGGGACAAAAATGTGATTAAATTCTCAAAGAGCTAATTTCAGTAAAACACCTCTTTATGAAATAAAAAGCAGAATGCATTGGGGCCTTGTTATTCCCCAAGTCCCACCCAACACAGTATATAACACAGAAGGGAAGAGAAATTCTCCCTAAGTTATCCACAGAATAGAGCTTTGGCACCTCAGGGGCCATGGAAAATCAGCAGTGATAACCAGCCGAAGAAGCATGGGATACGGTTACAGCTACAGCACCCCAAAGAAGGGTAAAATTACTAAGCACAGGCAGCAGAAATCATGGGGCAGCCATACCCATCTCTTCAGTGCCTCATCTGAGGACAGGTGAGGCCAGGATGAAAGTTAAGTGGCTTAGGACCCAGTTCCTAAGCAGTCACCTATTGGCGCTCAGATTTCCTCCTCCCCTTCCATTTTCCCCAACCAATGCCATGCCACATTCCAGGTAAAGCTCTCATCTCACAATTTAGTGACTTCTTTTATCCTTCAAAGCTGTTGTCTAAGACCCTTTTAGATTGATTCCTCCCTCTGCCAGGAAGACACTGTCAGCATTTTTGTGCCCCCTATACCCCCAAATAAATCTTTTGTTGTAGACTGAACTTGAATGACTCCTTAATGAATATCTAGGAGACACTAGGATTGCATGGGGCTTGTGTTCTATCCTCTGGGCCAGAGACTGGGAATATGGGTTATGGAGCCAGCGTGTCCTGGTTTCAATGGAAACTCCACAGTTTATCTGTTCTTTGAACAAATCCCTTTCTCTAAATCTCAATTTTCTTATCTGTAAAATGAGGCCCCAGATTGTATCCACCCACAGTCTATTGGCTAGATTAACTGAGTTCATGTAGAAAGCGGTTAACGCAGTAAGCCTCACATTGGAACTGTTCAAGAAAAGTCAGCCATACTTATTTTTCATTTACCAACTGTATTTCATGACCCCACAATTGTTGTTCCAGATAGGCTGGGAACTCTTGGGGAGGAGAGATTGGTTTCTGTATTTCTTCCATCTTTATATCCCCATTAGTTAGTACGATGCCTGGGCCTGGCTCATAGTACACATCCAATAAATGGTTGCTAAGTTGTGTGTGTAATTGCATAACTAACCAAATGAAGAATGTGGTAGTAGAGGGACATTTTATATTTGTGCAGCAGGTGCTGCCTTCAGGGATCACAAACAGGCAAATAAAAGTATGCCACAAAAAGACATTTGAAGGAAAGCAACTCTGAAAAATGAATTTTGAGGTGGCATTTTTTGTTCCCTTGGGACTTCATTTGCACAATGTGACTTCTTGTGTTCAATGGAATCTGACCAGGCAATAATTTGGTGTCTTATCATTGTTCTAATTCGTTTTCTATTGGTTGTCTATCCTTTAACCACTTTTTAAAATATATGAGTTTTTTAAAAATAATAGTGACTCATTGTATGGAAGGGAAATATATAAAGGAAAACAGAGAAGTATGTATGTGCCTCAGAGAAAGCAGATTTTTTTTATGTACATCGTGCCATTTTCAAAAGATACGTAAGATAAACCTTTTATTTAGATAAAACAATAAGTATTGGTGTGAACAGTTGACTAGAGCCCTCCCTGAACCTATATCCCATTGTTTTGTTCTGTTCTTCATGTGCTTTGCTGTTCTTTACATGAAGAAGGAATACTGATATTTTAGTTTGGACAGGGATAAGTTTTTATAAGTACTATGGGGAACACACCTCAAATGCTTTTTAAGAGCCTCTCACCAGTGGAAAAAGGAAATAAATACCACTTTTATCTCTTATGTATAGAAATTCTGTTCACTTTCCTCTTTCAATTCTGCCTTCTGTGTCAATTAAAAATTATATACAGCAAGAATTTAGATATAATTTCTGAAAAATTATAGATAAACTATTGTATGTGCCTAAATTAATTTGTGAAGGAGGATCAATTTGTGGATTATTTAGCTATTTGGGACAATTGGTCTGTATCATATTGAGAGATGAATATATTAACTCCTTCATATGATAGAAATGTCCACTTTGAGCAACTATATGAATATGTACAAAAAGGATATTTAGTATGATCTTTTTCATACTACTTACAACACTGAAATATCACAGGTACACTTAGTCAATCCCATGAAGCAATTTAAAGTTTTAGCTAGTTGTTTTTCTATTGAATTAATATACTTTTAGGACTTGACATATTTGAATACACATAAAAACCTTCTCAATTGACAATTTCTCATAGTTTATACAAACTTTTAGTTTGGTAAAGTGTATTTGCTTTGTCAATAACTCAAACAAACATCAACATATATTTTCTCTGGTATTAAACATTATAACATTTGGCTTATGCATATATTTTTCTTTTCTTCCTCCTTCCTTTTCTGATTCTTTCTTAGGCAAATATCTATTTTTTCTCATTTCTCACTCTTCTACTCAGAGATTTTCCATTTGTGAAACACTATTTTGTGAATAAATATCACAATTTTAATATGTAGTATCTCTTTTTTTTCTACATGGTCTCATCTTTTTAGATATCATCATATTTCCAAATATGAGCATTACTTTGTTCCTGCTAAAATTTGTGCTTTCAGTGATTAGCCTATAAACTGCATTTCAAATAATAGAAGTATCTTTGTAGCTCACTTCTCAAATGAAATTAATTTGCAATGAAGAGCACATATTTCTAATTACCTGATAAGGGTTATAGGGCTAATTATCATTTCCATTTTCCAGGAGTAGAAAATTACAATCAGCTTCTAGATTCACAGTTTTTATTGAATAACTGCTGAATTTTCAGAGGTCCCTGCATTGCTGATTTTTGTTGGCAAACCTCCTCTAAATTATCTTAAAGGTTTAATTTTTTAAATGTTTCTTTTTAAAAGCTTTATCGAAGTATCATTGACATACACTATAGATTGCATATATTGAAACTCTACAATTTAATAAATTTTGACATATGTCTGTGAAAACATCAGCAATATCAAGATAAAGAACATATCACCCCCAAAAGTTTTCTCATGCCCTTTGTAACCCATCTATCATTCCCTCCCCACCCCACTTTTGTTTCCAGGTAACCACCAACTTTTCTATCACTATATATTGGTTTGCAATTCCAAGCATATCATATAAAATGAATCATAGGGTATGTAATTTTGTTGTCTTGTTTCCTTCAATCATCATCATTATTTTGGATTCATCTATGTTGTGGCATGTAACAATAATACATTTATTTTATTTTATAGTAGTATTCAATTTTATAGATATACAACAAAGTGTTTATTCATTCACCTGTTGATGGACCCTGTAATTGTTTCAATTCTGGTGATATAATAAATAAAGCTGCTGTAAACACTCATGTACAAATGTTTATATAGATATACACTTTCATATATTTTGTGTAAACACATAGGAGTGAAACAGATATGACTGGTATCTGTTTAACTTTAAACTGCCAAACTGTTTTTCTAAGAGGTTGAGTCAGTTCACATTAGAGTAGCAGTTCCTGCATATATTCACCAACACTTGGTATTATCATTTTAAAAATATGTATTTTAGTTATTTTCATAGATGTGTCATGTGATGGTTTTATAGCTTTATTTTGCATTTCTGGAAGGATTATTCGCCCTCTATCTCCTTTAGTCAAGTGTCTGTACTAATTTGTTCCTCTTTTATATTGAATTGTTTAATATCTTATCAATTACTCTTGAGAGTTATTTATATATTTTATATGCAAGCCCCTTGTTCAATGTGTGGTTTGTAAATGATTTCTCTTGGTCTGTAGCTTATCTTTTCAGCTGTTAATGGAGTATTTCACTAAGCATGAACTTCTCATTTTGATGACATCCACATTGTCAGTTGGTTCTTTTGTGGACCATGCCTTTGGTGCCATAACTGAGACATATTTGTCTAACCCAAGGTCACAGTGGTTTTCATGTAGAAGTTTTACAATTTAGATTTCACATTTAGGTATGATCCATTTTGAGTTGCTATTTGTGTGCAGGTCTGCGTGTGTAACCCAACGTATGTATCAAATTCCACTTTGGGCATATGGATAACCATTTATGCCCACACAATGTATTGAATAGATTTTCCCTTCTCCACTGTATTGCCTTTGTATATTTCTCAAAAATTATTTTTTGAAATATGTGTGAGTATATTTCTTAAAATTCCATTTTATTTCATTGATAGATCTATCGATCTATCGATCTATCTATCTATCTATCTATCTATCTATCTATCATTATGCCAGTTCCACTCAATGTTGATTATTGGAGCTTTATATGAGTGTAGAAATTACATATTGTGGTCAGAGAACATAGTTCGTATAACCTGAATATTTGTAAATTTACCAAGGTTTGTTTTATGGCTCAGAATATCATCTATTTGTGTAAATGCCCACTGTGCAATTGAAAAGAGTTATATTCTGTATATTATTATGTATTTTATTTTATCTTCTGTATATTATTATTCCTGTGTATTATTTTTGAAACAATTGTAGGTTCACAGAAACTTGCAAAAATGTACAGAAAGGTATGCTTCATACAGTTTTTCCAAATTGTTAGATATGGCAAAATTAGAGTACAATTTTCAAACTAGAAAATTGATGTTGGTAAAATGTTTGTGCATAGTTTTATGTCATTTTATGACATGTTTAGATCTGTATAGCCACCACCAAAATCAAGACACAGGAGTATTACTTCACGGTAAATATCTTACTCATGCAATTTCTTTATAGACACACCCACCATCCCAACATGCCTAGCCATCGGGAACCACTAATCTGCTCTGCATCTCTACAATTTTGGTATTTTGAGAATGTTATATAAATGAAATCATACGGTATGTTACTTTTTGAGGCCAGCTTGTTTTCATTCAGAATAATACCCTTGAGATCCATGCAGGTTGTATGTATCAAAAGTCCGTTTCTTTTCATTGTTAATTAGTATTTTACCATATGCATGTACCACAGTTTCTTTAACCAGTCACCTATTGAGTAATATTAGAGCTCTTTTGAGTTTTTGATTATTACAAATAAAGCTTATTTGGACAATTATATATATATGTTTCTGTGTACATGTAAGTTTTAATTTCTCTGGACAAATTGCCAATAGCACAATCACTCGGTTGTATGAGTTGTTTGTTTAGATTTAAAGAAACTGAAATAATTTTTCAGAGTAGCTGTAACATTTTATATCTCCATCAGCAGTATATGAGAAATCCAGTGTCCTACACAGTTTTGTTGGCTTTTGGTATTGTCACTACATTTTATTTTGATGCTAGATGGATGTGTAGGAATATCTTATCATTGCCTCAATCTGTATTTTTCTGAAATGTAGTGATGTTGAATCTCCTTTTTATGTGCTTATCTGCCATCCATATATCCTTTTCAGTTAAAAGAATCTTCATGAAGTCTTTGCCCTTGCCTATGTCCTGAATGGTATTGCCTAGATTTTCTTCTAGGGTTTTTATGGTTTGGGGTTTTACATTTAAGTCTTTAATTCATCTTGAGCTGATTTTTGTATAAGACGTAAGGAAGGGGTCCAGTTTTAGTTTTCTGCATATGGCTAGCCAGTTTTCCTGGCACCATTTATTAAATAGGAAATCCTTTCCCTATTGCTTGTTTCTGTCAGGTTTGTCAAAAATCAGATTGTTGTAGATGTGTGGTGTTATTTCTGAGGTCTCTGTTCTGTTCCATTGTTCTATACGTCTGTTTTGGTACCAGTACATGCTGTTTTGGTTACTGTAGCCTTGTAGCATAGTTTGAAGTCAGGTAGTGTGATGCCTCCAGTTTTGTTCTTCTTGCTTAGGACTGTCTTGGCTAACCGGGATTTTTTTTTTTTTTTTGGTTCCATATGAAATTTAAAGTAGTTTTTTCTAATTCTATGAAGATTGTCAATGGTGGTTTGATGGGAATGGCATTGAATCTATAAATTACTTTGGGCAGTATGGCCATTTTCACAATATTGATTATTCCTATCCATTTGCATGGAATGTTTTTCCATTTGTTTGTGTCCTGTCTTATTTCCTTGAACAGTGGTTTGTAGTTCTGCTTGAAGTGGTCCTTCACATTTCTTGTGAGCTGTATTCCTAGATATTTTATTCTCTTTGTAGCAATTGTGAGTGGGAGTTCATTTATGATTTGGCTCTCTGCTTCATGACGAAAACACCAAAAGCAATTGCAACAAAAGCTAAAATTGACGAATGAGATCTAATTAAACTAAAGAGCTCCTGCACAGCAAAAGAAACTAGCATCAGAATGAACAGGCAACATCCAGAATGGGAGAAAGTTTTTGCAAGCTACCCATCTGATGAAGGTCTAATATCCAGAATCCACAAGGAACTTAAACAAATTTACAAGAAAAAAAGAACTCCATCAAAAAGTGGGCAAAGGATATGAACAGACACTTCTCAAAAGAAGACATCTTTTCTTTACGAATGTTGAATACTGGTCCCCAATCTCTCCTGGCTTGTAGGGTTTCTGCTGAGAGGTCTGCTGCTATTCTGATGAGCTTCACTTTATAGGTGACCTGGCCCTTCTCTCTGGCTTCCCTTAACATTTTTTCCTTCATTTTGACCTTGGGGAATCTGATGATTATGTGCCTTAGGGCTGATCTTCTCTTGAAATATCTTACTTGGTGGGGGGGGGGTTCTCTGGATTTCCTGAATTTGAATGTTGGCCTGTCTTGCTAGATTAGGGAATTTCTCTTGGATGATATCCTGAAGTATGTTTTCCAGCTTGGTTCTATTCTCCCCATCTCTTTCAGGTACCTCTATCAGTCATAGGTTCTGTCTTATGTTAACATAATCCCATAGTTCTTGGAGATTTTGTTGGTTCCTTTTTATTCTTTTTTTTTTCTAATCTTGTCTGCGTGCCTTATTTCAGCAAGATAGTCTTCAAGCTCTGATATCCTTTCTTCTACTTGGTCTATTCAGCTATTAATACTTGTGTTTGCATTACGAAGTTCTCGTGTTGTGTTTTTGAGCTCCAGCAGATTATTTATGTTCTTCTCTAAACTTGTTATTCAGTTTAACAGCTTCTGTAATGTTTTATCATGGTTCTTAACTTCTTTGCAGTGAGTGAGAACATAATTGTTTAGCTCAGTGAAGTTCATTACCCAACTTCTGAAGCCTACTTCTGTCAATTCATCCATCTCAGCCTCAGCCCAGTTCTGTGCCCTTGCTGGAGACATGTTGAGAGCATTTGGAGGTAAAGAGGCACTCTGGCTTTCTGAGTTTTTGGTATTTTTGTGTTGATTTTGTACTCATCTTCATTGGTTTATCTACCTTTGATCTTTGAGGCTGCTGACTTTTGGATGGGGTTTTTGTGGGGTCTTTTTCATTGATGTTGTTACTTTGTGTTTGTTTTTCTTGGAGTAGTCAGGCCCCTCTTCTGTAGGGCTGCTCTGGTTTGCTTGGGGTCTACTCCAGACCCTAATCTCCTGGGTTCCTTCCACCCCTGGAGATATCACCAGTGGAGGCTGCAGACCAGCAAAGATGTCAACCTGCTCCTTCTTCTGGGAGATCTGTCCTAGAGGGGCACTGACCTGATGCCAGCTGGAATGCTTCTGTATGAGGTGTCTCAAGACTCCTGTTGGGAGGTCTCAATCAGTCAGGAGAAGTGAGATCAGAGACTCACTTAAACAAGCAGTCTGTCTGTCCCGTGGCAGGGCAGGCGTGCTGTGCTGGGGGAATCCCCATCATCTGGGCTGCCCTGACCCTCCAGAGTGAGCAGGCAGAAAAGACTAAGATCACTGATCCACAATACTACAGCTGCTCCTCCTCCTAGGGTCTCCTCTCAGAGTTATCAGAGTTCTGTCCATAAATCCCTGGTTGGGGATGCTGAGATTTCCATAGGGAGGCCTTGCTCAGTGAGTGAGGAGTGGATCCAGGTCTTATTTAAAGAAGCAGTCTGGCCACAGACTGATCCAGCCTCTGTGCTGTACTGTGGGGAGTTGCTATAGATTTAGACTCCTCCTTCTTGCTGGCACTGGTGGCAGGGGAAAGTGGCTGACTGGAGCCACGGTGATGACAGCTGCCCATCCCCCTGGGAACTCAGTCTTCTTAGGCAGTCTTTAGCCAGCTGTGCTGGCTAGTGGGGATTTCAAGCCAGTGTGTTTTAGCTTGTAGAGTTCTGTGGGAGCAAGGCTGCTTGGCTCCCTGGCTTCAGCCCCCTCCCCATGAAAGTGGACAGATCTTCTGCCTCACAGGAGTTCCCAGAGTCAGAGCATGCAAATACTCCTGTGTGTCAGTGCCTGCTTAAAGTGGCCGTCCACCTGAGCAGCTGCTGTGAGTCTCCACAGCCTGGTGCTTGGGACCCAAGGTTCTGGTGGCGTGGGCTCAGGAGGGGACCTCCTAATCCACAGGTTGCACGGATCCATGGGAAAAGTCTGATTTTCAGGGAGGAAACGCACAATCCTTCACCGTCTCCCTTGTCGAGAGGAGGAAGTTTCCTTTGCCCCATGCACGTCCCCGGTGGGCCCTTCCTCCATCCCATTTTTGCTCGCTGTTAGTGGTTCGTGCCAACCACCTAGTCAGTCCCAGTAAGAGAACTTTGGTACCTCAATTGAAGATGCAGAGTTCACTCGCAGTTTTCATCCTTCTCAGTGGGAGCCACAGAGTGCAGCTGCTTCTATTAATCCATCCTGGCTGCTCTCTATTCCATGCTTTTCCCCAGAATTTTTTTGGTGAATTTTTAAATGTTTCTTGTACTTGGAGTTTCTTGAATTTTTTATATTTATGAGTATATAATCTTTTTTATATTTATGACTATATAATCTTAAATTGGGAAAATTTCACTATTAAAGTATATAATTAAATGTAGTCTGATTCCTCTCCATGACGTTTCAGGGACTCCAATTTCATGTCATTTTGGCCACATACAAATGTTCTTACAGCTCACTTATGTTCTTTTCATTTTTAAAATTCCATTTTCTCCTGTTTTCTATTTTGAATAGTTTTTATTGTTTGTTCTTAAGTTTACTGACATTTTATTCTGCCAATCCAGTGTATTTTTTATTGTATACATCTCACACATTGTAGTTTTCAGCTCTAGAAGTTTTATTTATGGTGTCTTTATATCTTGCATTTCTGTACTTAACCTTTAAAATATGTGAAATAAAGTTAAAACAGTTTTTTGATATGCTTGTCTACTAATTCTAATACATATTTTAGTTCTGTGTGGCTTTTAAAAATATTTGCAAACCACACATCCAAAAAAGGTTAATATCCAAAATATGTAAGGGACTCATACCTCTCAATAGCAAAAAAATAAATAATTTAATTAAAATATGGGCAAATGAACACAATGGTTTTTTCATAAAGAAGATATACAAATGGCCAACAGGTTTATAAAAAGGTGCTCCACATGACTAATCATTAGGAAATTCAAATCAAATGCACAATGACGTATCATCTCACACCTTTGAGAATGGCTATCATCAAAATGACAAAAAATCACAAATATTGGTGAGGGTGTTGAGAAATAGGAACCATTGTGCACTGTTGGTGGGAATGCAAATCGGTACAGCCATTATGAAAAATCATATAGACGTTCCTCAAAAATTAAAAATAAAATTATGATGTGATCCAGCAATCCCAATTATAGATATATATCCAAAGGAAATGAAAATGCTATGTTGGAGAGACGTCTGCACTCTGATGTACTGCAGCACTATTCATAATAGCCAAAATATGGAATAAACTTAAGTGCTCATTAATAGATGAATGAATAAATAAAATTTTGTATACATATGTATGTATAAATACAATATGTATGTGTGTTTGTATCTAATTATTTAGCTCAATGAAGTTTATTATTACCCAGCTACTGAAGCCTACTTCTGTCAATTCATTCTTTATCCTTAAAAAAAATGAAATCTTGTAATTTGTGTAAAAATGGGTGAAACTGGAGAACATTAAGCTAAATGAAATAAGGCAAACACAGGTCAACAAATACTGTATAATCTCACTTATATATGGAATATAAAATCAGAAGAGTAGAATGGTGGTTACTAGGGGTTGGATGAGTGAGGGAAATGGGGAGATGTTGGTGAAGGGTACAAACTTTAAGTTATAAGATCAATAAATTCTGGAGATCTAATGTACACAATGGTAACAATAGTTGATAATAATGAATTTTGTACTTACAATTTGCTGAGAGTAATCTTAAGTGTTCTCATGCCCAAAATAAGTATGTATGTGAGGCGTTTCAAATGTTTTTAGCTTGATTGTGTAATTAATTCACATTTTATGTGTATATCAATTCATCACATTGTATATCTTAAGTATATACAATTTTTATTTGTCAGTCACGCTTCAATAAAGCGGGAAATTAGAAAACAAAGCACTACTTTAATCAGGCTACTGTGGCTTCCAGAGAAGCTGAATTAGTGACTTAAGTTAGCTGTCTAGTCTCTTCAGTAGGGAAATTCAAGGCAGAGGGAGTGATAAAGAGCTTTTGAGTAACCAATCCACATTATCTGTCACTGTGGCTATCTGTTAGAGCAAGTTCAAAGCACTTTGAATGAATTAAAAAAACTCATCAAATATGATTTTTATTTCATAATTGATGGTAGGTTTAGCCAACAGCACCACACCAATTAGCAGTTTTGAAATCTGGAGTAATACCTTCAGAAGGACTACTCCCTTTGGGAAAATGATACCGTAACAAAATCTTTTAAATTGACTTTACAATCTTGGCCAGAAAAAGACTCTCATATGATTTTGATGCCATTGCGAGGCAGAAATGTGAGAAAATTCTTTAGCCCAGAGGGCAATTTTTGTTAGGCTTTACACCAAGGCTATTTGTACTATAAGAAAGTGTGTACTTTTGTATCTTAACTAACCAAGACTCATAATACAATTCTTTTCTAAGAAGCAAAGATCGTTCATTTAAATTTGGAAGCCATTTAATATGATTAGAGTGTGATTTTGTGAAATGAATTCATACTTTTAGAATATGGTACCTGTATTAGTCTGTTGTAAAACTGCTGATAAAGACACATACCTGAGACTGGGAAAAAAAAGAGGTTTAATAGACTTACAGTTCCATATGGCTGGGGAGGCTTCACAATCATGGTAGAAGCCACGAAGGAGCAAGTCACATCTTATGTGGATGGCAGCAGACAAGAGAGAGAGCTTGTGCAGGGAAACTCCTGTTTTTAAAACCATCAGATCTTGTGAGACTTACTCACTATCACGAGAACAGCACAAAAAAGACCGGCCCGCCCCCATGATTCAATTATCTCCCACCGGGTTCCTCCCATGACATGTGGGAATTGTGGGAGTTACAATTCAAGGTGAGATTTGGGTGGGGACATAGCCAAACCATATCAGTACCTATGGAAGAAAGACCTAGACTCAATATTATTCACTACTTTAGAGATGAAATAAAAATGAACTCAAAGAAAGGTTTTCTGAGAACCCACAATTTATCCAATTTTCCCTCAAAATTGTTCCTTGGTTTTGTTTTGTTTTGTTTTGTCTATTGACTATGTGGTGATACAATATTCTGAATTAGCCTCTCTCATCATGTTACATGATGTCACCCAGTAGCAGGTCTGCATTATTTAGTTGTACTTCCCTTTGGATATATCAAACCCGTGACTTTAATTTCTTTTTTTGTCCATCATGATTTCAAGAGCAAATGGACCTATGTGCCCAAGGCACCTGTATATGCTACCCTCATACACCCACACACTAATACATATGTAGAGAATCAAAGGCAGTAAGTTATTACAAGCATTTGACACAATATTTTTATAAAGTTGGCCTTTCTAACATGTTTGATGCATTCCAATGTTCACCCTTCTTGAAACCAAACCATATAATAAATAGTGACTAGGAGACAGCACTTGCTAACTGTAAAATTCTTATTAATAAATGAGGATGAAATTATGGAAACAGAAAATATCTATTAAGTAAAACCCAGAAAATCATCATTGGATGGTAAATTTAATAGAAGAGAGTATGACAAAAAAGGTATATTTGCCCAGGCTCAAAGTATCTCCCCACAAAATACAGATTAACATAATGTGAAAAATGGTAACTTTACAGTAGAAGAATGTGGCAGACAGCAACTTACCCACCTGATTTAAGTTCACATTGCCAGTAATGAGACAGTCTTTCTGCACCTCTTCCTGACAGGATGCAGAGAAGGGCACAGCATCACCTGACATCCTGATGCAGGCTCTCCTCAGAATACTGGGCTCCTTCACATCCTCTTCTGTAAAGTTGATCTCCAAGCTCATATTTTAACCGCATAGATATATCTTGTCTCAAGGCCATTTTTCCAGGAAATTTCTGTGAATATTTTATATACATAAGGCTGAGTTAGCGTAATAAGGGATATAAACAGAATAAAACACACTGTTCAGCCTCCACAAGTTTAGAGATTAGCCAAAGATGCACAATTCTAAGTATGTAAATATAAGAAAAATGTAACCAAGTTCTATGATGCAGGTAGAAGCAGTATCACCAGCACTGTTGAGCTAGACCTAGACATAATGAGCACTGGCTACTATCTTTAGAATCTTCTGTGGCTCAGACTTCTGGGGAAGACAAGCATTCTCACTTAAGAACCACAAAAACACAAGACAGCATGTACAAAGAAAGGAAAAGTAGAAAATTCAGGGTGTTCCTGTTCACATCACTGCTAGACTCCCATTGTGATATGAAACCAAATGTTCTCCCCTTTGTTTCCCTTCATTCATTTTCAATTGTATTTCTGTGATCTCTTTCCTCTTTTCAAAAGCACCCTTTCTATTCTTCCACTTTCAACATATTCATTAAAATAAAGTAATATATATGGCCTTGTGATTTTCGTATAATTTAGGCTTGAAAATTATAATTTTCCGATCTTTAGAATATTATAACTGAAAAGTTTTTATACTCATATGTGTGTGTGTGCATAATCTCTTTCCCTGTGGGTCCATAAAAATTAAATTACCATTGGTGTTAGGGACTGATTTAAATATTTTCTTGACTGAAGTCCAAAGCATCAGCAGGAAAGATCCTTGAAGTGTTGCCCAACCCTGTATCTTTTTCTCTTTCAAGGGATTTTGGCAAAGCATCACCTTCCCTTACACAATGGCAGTGACTATTGGTATGACTTATCATTGATTAGTAGACTGTTTCTCAAACCCTGTGTATCAATTACATTGTACTGATAGTATTAGAAAATCAAGGATGAAAGAAAGTCATTCAGTTGTCTAAACAATGAGTTATAGAGGTTAGGTAACTGTTGCCTTAGGAGAATGTAAATTAAAGATTAGCAAACAGAATAAGTATAATACACAAAGAAAGTCATCTGTTTGCCCTTGAAGAGAAGAAATAATAATACAAAAATTACAAGATAAGCACCATTGCTATCTAAATTAAATTTCCTCATTTTGTTCTAGGATAATTAGGTCTGTGTCCTGGTCAGATTTTTGTCTTGTTGTATACCAAAATGTAAAATCTATTTAATGGGTATTTGTGTGGTGCTTTACCTCGTACAGATAGATTTCTCTCACATCACCTCATGTGTTTCTCATAATAGTTTTGTGAGATTAGCATGGGAAATACTTTCACTTTATAGATGAGAGAGCTGAGTCTTAGTAAGGGTTGAGACTTTGTCCAAGTTAAATTTGTCTAACACGTAGCAAACTGAGTTCTCAACACCAAGCCTTCTGCTCCAAGGATGATGCTCTTTCCACACCACTCAACTCCTCAGAAACCCGCCAGAGAAATAAGCTGCCAATAGTTGTTGTCTTATAAGTTATTTATCTAGACACTCTTTAAATTATTTGACTTTTAAACAACTCAAAAAGAAATGATAGAAAATTTCTAGTACAACTTAAGGAAAATACAGCATTGAAGGTGTTCCAATGGAATAAATTAAGAATCAATTATTCTTCCATCCACTCTCCTCCACTCCCTGCTTAGCACCAATTATGCATGTCATTGCTATCCTAGAGAATCATGAAGAGGTTGACAAATGTGTCATTCTTCCCCCAAGCTGCTCATTACTTTATCAAACTTTTAATTTCTATATTAAGTGTGTGTTGCAGAATGGTTTTTAGATATATTCTTTCTCTGATATTCTCCAGGGAAGACAGAATAAAATTCAGTCAGTTCAATAGATTGTTTTCATGAAGCTGTCACAGCTTCAAAGGATGACTAAAATGTGCTGCACTCCTAAGAGACAGCAGAGAACAATAGAAAGCAGTGACAAAAGAAACCATGCAGATGCCCTTTTGATGGCAGCGGCAAGCCTCGGCCACTTCAGAGAGGGCACAGGAAGGAGTCGGCCAAATCCCTGCAGTCATCCACCCTGGGGGCTGCCGTGATGGGACGGGGCCAGGTTGCCCACTGACAGGGGAGCAGTGAGGTCAGGCAGAGTGGGGTCCCGAAGCAAAGCTGGGCCCGGGGCGGTGCTGCACTTGCACACTGAATGCAGGGGCCAGGCACCAGGCACAGAGCTGGGGCCCTGCTTTGGGGGCCCGTGGCAGAAAGTGGGAGTGGTGCCCACTTTTGGTGCCCACAGACACACTGCCCACCCTGCCAAGGGTGCCAGGTTCCTGTGCCTTGGGAGGAGGCTCTCCGTGGGACCTTCTGGGGCCACATCCCTGAGGTCCACCCTGTGTCAGGGTGACCGCTGAGCTAACACTCCTGACTGCTGGGCCTGGGGTCTCGATTTGCTCTTCCCCGGGCCACCCCTGAGCACCAGGGCAATGGGGGAAGCTTGTGCAGATATTGCACCTGCCCTGGATCCCAGACTGAGCCTAGTGAGGACCTTGAGCTCCGACCCCAGGCTGCAAGTAGGTGCAGCTGGGGCTGTGTGCTCCACAGAGCCTGTGGAAACTGAGAGCAGGCAGAAGCCCCACCATCCCAGGCACAGGTGCAGCCGCCCAAATCTGGATTGGGGGCCCAGGAAAGCCATCTCCTGCCCTTGCAGACTTGGAAGTGCCTGCTCCCACTGCCTGGCTTCTCTCCACTGTCAATGCCTGCTCTGATCTCAGAGCAACATAGGGCCAATCCCAGGCACCATCACAGACCAAATAGGGGTGCACACACTGGAGGAAGTTCTGACATGCCAGCCCCTGGCCACCTCAGTTCCCTCCAGACTTTGGGCACCAATTAACACCGTTGGAGGGAGCCAAGGGGGGACTGAGAGCATCTTAGCACTGGCCTGCAGGTGCCCCTTGAGGCAAGAAGCCTGGGCACCATGGACTGCAGCAGGAAGTGTATGGGCTCCTGGGCAGAAGGGGCCAGGTACCCATTGAGGTCCTACCTTCAGGCCAGGGAGAACCTGAAGACTGGGGGCCAGGATGCTAGTCACCCAGAGCAGAGTGGGAACTTGTGGTGCCTTTTCTGGGCCCACCCGTGGTCACCCATGGACCAATCAGTGTGCACTTTCTCCTGTCCAAGGCCCATAAAAGCCTCAGGCTCAAGCAGAGCAGAGCAGATGTCAGGACAACCAGCTGCAGAGAGGAGCTACCCACTCCAAGGCCTCCTCTCTGCTGAGAGCTGGAAAGATGACAAGACAACCTGCCTGCAGAGAGGAACAACCAACTGCAGGGCCTTCTCTCTGCTGAGAGCTGCAGAGACGACAGGATGACCTGCCTGCAGTGAGGAGCTTCCCATTCCAGGGTCTCCCCTCTGAGAGGAGCTTCCCACTCCAGGGTCTCCTCTCTGCTAGGAGCTGAACACTTATCAGGAAACCTTGGCTGTGGAAAGGAACTATCTACTGCGGGTCTCCTCTGAGCTCTTCTATCACTCAATAAAGCACCTCTTCCTCTTGTTCACCCTCTACTTGTCTGTGTACCTCATTTTTCCTGGTCACAGGACAAGAACTTGGAACCCACCAAATGGCAAGGCTAAAAGAGCTATAATGCAAACAGGGTTGAGACAGGCCCCTTGCTTGCCACATTGTGGGTGAAGAGGAGAGAAGAGCTGCAGCCCTTCAGGTAGCCCAGAACTGGGGCTCCTGAGCCAGATCTGTGACTCCCTCCTTTGGACTCTGCAGTTCTCCAAGCTTCCAGGTGCCACCATGTTCCCCAGTGCCAGCTGTGGAAGCTGCATGTAGTGTGCCTGATCCAGCCATAGAGTTACATAGAGCCGGCACCTGTGCTCACACCTGGAGCTGCCTACCCTACTGCAGCAGCTGCACAGAGGTTTCCAATCAGGAAAGTGACACCCCAGAGATCCCATACCACTTTCAGAGCCTTTCACTCATCAGTCAATACCCACCTCCAGATTCAATTCTATTCGTAGCACTAAAATATATAATTATCCTATACAATGTATTGTTGGTAAAAACATTCTCAAAGTTATTTGGTATTATTTAGTTTCAGTACCATATTTTCATACCCTCTTCCTTTAAGGAAAGCATTGATGTCAGATTTTTATTTTAAACCAGTACACTGGTATTAAGTGGAGTCTCATTCATACATAGGTCTTACCTTAACCAACTGAAAATTTCATCTTCTGACTGACGCATCCTATAGACTCCTGGAGTTTTCCTGAGCCAATCACTAGTTGTGTTAGTCAGTTCTCACATGGCTATAAAGAACTATCTTAGACCAGGTAATTTATAAAGAAAAGAGGTTTAATGAGCTCATAGTACTGCAGGCTGCACAGGCTTCTGCTTCTGGGGAGGCCTCATGAAACTTATGATCATGGTGGAAGGTGACGGGGAAGCAAGCATGTTTTCATATGGCCAACGGGAGAAAGAGAGTGAAGTGGGAGGTGCTACACACTTTCTTTTTTTCTTTTTTTGAGATTAAGTCTTGCTCTGTCGCCCAGGCTGGAGTGCAGTGGCGTGACCTCGGCTCACTGCAAGCTCTGCCTCCTGGGTTCACGCCATTCTCCTGCCTCAGCCTCCTGAGTAGCTGGGACTGCAGGCGCCTGCCACCATACCCAGCTAATATTTTTTGTATTTTTAGTAGAGACGGGGTTTCACCGTGTTAGCCAGGATGGTCTCGATCTCCTGACCTCGTGATCCACTCACCTCGGCCTCCCGAAGTGCCAGGAGTACAGGTGTGAGCCACCGTGCCCGGCCAGTGCTACACACTTTCAAACAAGCATATCTCATGAGAATTCTATGACCCCATGATTCGATCACCTCCCACCAGCACTGGTGATTACAATTCAACAAGAGATTTGGGTGGGGACACAGAGCCAAACCATATGACTACTCTTAGAGAACTTTGAACAAACTATTTATAAACTGTAGCCACATGAGCCAGGAAGTCAAGCAGAATGATTAAGCATGGAAATATATGAAGGTTGTGTGACTACAGCAAACATGATAAAAGCAAGGAGAAAATGAATAGATGACATTCTATCAGCCCATGTTCTAAATCCTCAGTAATACATTTCTGGTTCATACTTTCTAAAATGTTGGGGTAATAAAACTATTTTGCATGATATTACAAAGGAGATTATGCATTTATCCAAATCCATGGAATGTACAAGAGTAAGAGTGAACCCTAATGTAAACTATGAAATTTAGGTGGTGATGAATCAATGTAAGTTCATTGATTGTAACAAATGTACCACTCTGGTGTGGGATATTGTCAGTGAAGAGAAGCTGTGCATTGGTGGGGAGGGAGTATATGGGAATTCTCTGTACTTTCTACTCAAATTTTTTATGAATCAAAAATTTACTTGAAAAATAAAGTATATATATGTATATATATGTGTGTGTATATATGTGTGTGTGTGTGTGTGTGTGTATATATATATATATATATATATATATATATATATATATATAGTTGTAAGACCAACTGTCCTAACGTCTGATGGCAACACAATTCTCTCATTCTCACCACTCACAGAAACTGCTCTGTTAAGGCTATTAGTTCTGCTCACATTATTAAATCCAGTGGCCATTATTCAGTCCCCATCTTTACCTTCACAGCATTTGACACTATTGATCACTTCCCTCCTGAAACACTATTTGGCAACCAGGTCACTGCATAGTCTTATTTTGTCCTACTACCTCATTTGCTGTTGCTTCAGTCAACTTTGCTGTGACTTCTTTACCTCTAAGTGATGAGATGTTTTAGAGCTCAGGTCCCAGATCTATTCTTTTCTGTTTCTGTGTTTATAAGTAATCTCATTCTCAGGCCACTAACTTTAAATATTCCTCTGTATCTCAGGACTCTCAAAAGTGCATATGATTTGATCTTCATCATGCAAAAAGTCAAGAATAAAACAAGAAATAAGAATTAAGGAATCTAAAGCTTTCTATTACAAAATTGTGTGTTACATATTGCTTTAAAATAGATGTTGCACATTGTATTTTCTATTACATACCATCTGTGATGGTTAATTTTGTGTCAACTTGGAGGGTGTTTTTGAATGAGATTAACATTTAAATAAGTGAACTTCGAGTTAGCAGATTGCTCTCCATAATGTGGGTGGGCCTCATCCAATTTGTTGAAGGCCTGAATAGAACAGAAAGACCAGCGTCCTGGAGCAATATAATTCTCCAGCAGACTGCCTTCAGACTTCATCTGCACCATTGGCTTTCCTGAGTCTCCAACCTTTGGCCCACACTTCAGATTCGGATTTGCTAGGCACCAAATTGACATGAGCCAATTCCTTACCATAAATCTTTTTCTACACATATACACATCCTATTGATTCTATTTCTGGAGAACTCTGACTCTAGTTGTAGAGAACTCTGACTCTGATGCTATCCAAATATTTAAAACAAAGCAAACAAATAAGAGTAGGTGACAACTCTATTGAACATTTTTTACTTAATTATCAAAGCTCTGATAATGTGCTTTGACATAGTCAGCATTTTATACAGCTGTGAGACTGAAGACAGACATCAAGGACATAACATGAGCTCTTTTGTTTAACTGAAAACAAGGCCCACTTGGTGGTACAAATGTGCCTTTATCATGGGAAGAGAAAAAATTGACACAAAACACCAAAAATAAGGGTCTTTATGATAAACATCAAAGTTCTGTGAGTATTGTAATATATAGGTAGGGAGAGAGTAGTTTTAATCTGTTTTGAGAGTTTTGAACTTGATGAGAAAGTTTATTATTGTCTTGGAAGCTCTAACTTTTGGCCTTGTCTGACAAAAAGCACGGAAACAAAAACAGGCAGGTATATCTAACTTGAAAAACAAAAACTTAGTTACCACTTCTAAGATAACTTTCTGGTTTTAGTATGTAATAGTCACTCCTGGGCAGACTTAACGTACCAAATATCTTTTGCAGAACTATAGCATAAATAAGAGACAAAAATAATACACAACAATTATTAGACTCTTACTATGTAATAGGATTTTAAGAAAAACACTATTATCCATTATGTAACTTGGAACTTAAAGCATGTTGAGACAATTACTTTTATTTCTCCCATTTTACAAGTGATTACATTTAGAAAATGTATTCATGGCCATTTGTTAATTTCACTGATATTTCAGAAGGCAAGATAAGTTAAAAGTGGTTTGGTGACTTTCCCATGGATATATGTCTGGTTAATAGCAAAGCCAAAATCAAAATGCTGGTTAGTAACTTTAATATTGTTACTGTTTGGATAATTCATTAAAAATGATTACTATGTCATATATTTTGCATTATAGTACCCAATCTCAATGAGTATTTCTCAAAATAACTAAGCCCTATGGCCTTGAGATAGTAATTGTATGTAAAGGATAAAGTTTTCTCCTACGTATCTAGAATGGTGCCGGCATCCTTGGGAGAATTGAGAAAATAGGTTCTTTTTAATAGAATTAAATTATCTTAAACAAGGTGATGCCTCCGGGACTTTGATAAGAACAAGTAACACCCGAGAGTCTTGCTAAAAATAGGGATCTTATGTCCCACTTCTGAGATTTGAATTTATTAGATTTGGCACGAGGCCTAGGAATCTGTATTTTTAAAATTGTCCCAAATCATTAGATGAATCTCTGCCCATGTTTGTTTTGCTTTTTTGTTTGTTTGTTTAAACAACAGAAATTTATTTTTTTAAAGTTGTGGAGGCTAGAAGTCCAAGATCAATCAAGCTGGTAGGTTTAGCTTCTCCTGAAGCCTCTCTCCTTGGCTTGTAGATAACACCTTCTCTCTATACCTGGATTGCTTTTCCTCTGCACACATTCCTGGTGCTTCATTGTGTGTCCAAGTTTCCTCTTCATGTAAGGACACCAGGCAGATTGGGTCAGGGTCCAACCCAATGGCCTTATTTTAACTTAATTACCTACTTAAAGGCCCTATCTCCAAATACTTCCACATTTTGAGGTACAAAGGCTTAGGCCTCTGACATATAAATTTGGGAGAGGGATGCACAAGTCTTATATCACAGAGGTTACACTGCAACCTCTGTGAGGGCAGTGGCCAAGTCTGTTTGATCATCATTTAGTCCCAGCACATAGCCCCTTGTCTGCACACAGCAGACATTCAAGTGGAGAGAATTTGGATGAATGAATGAATGAATGAATGAATGGACAAACAGAGGCCAAGAGCACTGAAGACTCTTCTGATTTTGCTTGACTAGTTTTCCTTATTGGACACAAATACTTGGGTATGCTGAAAGACTGACATTCCCTTTGCGATGCTGGGCAGAAAAAGCCAGTGTTTCCCAAAGATTCATGCTGTCATGTTCCAGCTTCATAATAAATAACAGTCATTCCTCCTCCTCAGGGATGAAGTCACCTCTCTGGAATCGATAAAAAACACATAAGAAAGGAAACTAACAATTATTTTGTTACCTACTATGTACCAAGCATTTGATATCTTATTTGATTCTCATGTCAGTTCTGCTAAGCAAATACAATTCCTATCTTTATAGATAGTGCAAACTGAGTCTCAGAGAGGTTGAATGTGTTGCCATATTTATAAAAAAAAAAAGTTGGAGCTAAAATTTGGATCTGTGTGTGTGGTTTTAAAACCCAAACTTATATACCAAGCTTTGGTGGTGGAGGGTGCTATAGTGAACCATCCTGAGTCCTGATAGGCACTGGATGATTACCTACCTTCTTGTCTCTCAGAGATCAAAAGAATAGGTAGGGAGTACCTCCCAAAAAAAGAGAAAAGAGGGAGAGGAGTGTGAATTAAAAAAAAAAATAAAATATACTTCAATTTATTCCATAAACATTTATTTATTGAATATTTATGTCAGGCACAGGGGCTGGGAACAAAATCAGAATGTGCTTTTTTTTTCTAAAAATACTTTTTATTTTGAAATACTTTTGAAAAATATTTAACTTTAATTATGTTTAGGGGTACGTGCTCCGGTGTTTTTTGTTTTTTATTTTGAGACGGTGTCTCGCTCTGTTGCCCAGGCTGGAGGGCAGTGGTGCGATCTCAGCACACTGCAACCTCTGCCCCCCTGAGTTTAAGCAATTCTCCTGCTTCAGCCTCCTGAGTAGCTGGGATTACTGTTACAGGCCACTATGCCCGGCTAATTTTTGTATTTTTAGTAGAGACAGGGTTTCACCACATTGGCCATGCTGGTCACGTACTGGCCTCAACTGATCCACCCGCCTTGGCCTCCCAAAGTGCTAGGATTACAGGCGTGAGCCACCGCACCCGGCCCATGCTCAGGTTTTTATATAGGTAAACTCATGACTCAGGGGTTTGGTGTACAGATTGTTTCATCACCTGGTACTAAACATACTATTGACAATATTTTTTTCTGAACCTCTCCCTCTGCCCAACCTCTTCCCTCAAGTAGACCCCACTGTCTGTAGTTCCCCTCTTTTTGTCTATACACTTCCACTATTTAGCTCCTACTTATATGTGAGGACATGTGATATTTGGTTTTCTGTTTCTGTGTTAGTAGGCTAAGGATACTGGCCTCTAGTTCCATCTATATTCCAACAAATGACATGATCTCATTCCTATTAAAGGCTGCATAGTACTCTATGGTATATACGTACCATATTTTCTTTATCCAGTCTACCATAGATGGGCATTAAGGTTGCTTCCATATCTTTGCGATTGTGAATAGTTTTGCAATGAACATACCCATGCATGTGTCTTTATGGTAGAATGATTTATATTCCTTGGGGTATATATACCCAGTAGTGGGATTGCTGGGTTGAATGATAGTTCTGTTTTTAGCTCTTTGAGGAATCGCCATACTGCTTTCCACAATGGTTAAACTAATTTACACACCCAATAACTGTGTAGAAAAAGTGCTCCTTTTTTCCACAATCTCACCAACATCTGTAATTTTTTGAGGTTCTAATAATGGCCATTCTGACTGGTGTGAGATGATATCTCATTGTGGTTTTGATTTGCATTGATGTTAAGCATTTTTTTCCTGTGTATTTTGGCCACATATATTTCCTCTAGGAAATACCTTTTTGGACCTAGGAACTGGCAAAGATTTCATGACAAAAACATCCAAAGCAATTGCAACAAAAGCAAAAATTGACAAATGAAACCTAATTAAACTGAAGAGTGTCTTCACAGCAAAACAAAACAAAACAAAACAAAACAAAACAGAACAAAAAAACCTATCAATAGAGTAAACAGGCAACCTACAGAATGGAAGAAAATATTTGCAAACTATACATCTGACAAAGGTCTAATATCCGTACTTTACAAGGAAAGTAAACAAATGTACAAACAAAAAACAAACAACTCCATTAAAAAGTGGGCAAAAGACATGAAATACTTTTAGATTTATAGAAAATCTGTGAAGATAGTCCAGAGTTGCCATATACTCTTCACCCAGTTTCTTCTAATGGTTAACACACTACATAACTATAATACATTTATCAAAAACTAATAAATTAACATTGGTACAGCACTAATAACTAAAAACTTCACTTGTTTTAGTAATTCTGAGTGAATTTTAAGGAATTAATTTCTAAAATGCTGACAATTGTAGAAAATTTTGTTTCAGATAGACCTTAGTCATATTTAAAGGAAAAGGCCTTTGATTCTCAATTAAACAAATGGAAATGTGTTTAGTTTACTGAGAGCTATGTTACATGTAATTGCAGTAATATGTGCAGGTACCATGAGGATATGGCCCTAGATGAACTGTAAAATCAATGACACAAAATATCATTGATTTAAATGATACATTTAAACATTATGATGAGGTTCATAAGCTACACCTTCTTATTCCTCTCAGGCAGATATTCCCAAATGATACGGTTACAAGGACAACATTAATAACAACAAAAACAACATCTGGCATTTTTTGAGAACACAGAATATGTTAACTATTATTTTATCTGTTTTAAATGTCTTCGTTTACTTAATTCTCAGGACTTGACCTATTAGCAACACAGAAAGGATAAATATTCAAGGTGATGGATACCCCAAACAGCCTGACTCGACCATTATACATTCTATGGATATAAAAAGTAACCACATGTTACCCCATAAATATGTAAAATATTATGTATAAATTTTAAAAATATTCACAGGACTCTTTCCAGGATACATACATATATATATATATATATATATTTTAATAATTTTCTTTAGGGAATGGCTGAGAACAATTGGATCAGCAATTCCAATCCCCTGCCTAATGACCTTAGCTTTGCTCCAGCATATGAGAATGTATCAGAACAGTGGTTCTGGAGGGAAACATTTGTCTTCTTTCCCTATAGAAAATGTAAGAGAGTATAGTTCAAGGCCTGAAAGTACTCAGTTTTCTGTATTGCTCTGAAAGTGGTTCTGCAGAAAGATCTACTCCCAACATCTCATCCGTCTTAGACCTCTGCTTTTACCCTACCCCAGATTCATCTTATCTAAAATTTCCATATGCATTGGTGCCTTCACATATAATTTTTAATGTCTTCTGTTTTTAATTTCAAAGGAGTTCTATATTTGTGGGATGAGCAAATAGAGAGAGAAGAGGAATGGCAAGAGTTAATAAATAATAAAACTAAAAAGCACTGATAGAGAAAAGAAGCACAGGTGCCCATTCATGAAATAAAATAACTATTCTCACATATTCTGGACATTTAACTAATATATGTAACATATAGCCTCAGTAAAGATCTAAGAATAACTTCTTCTTTCAAAGTACATGACACAACCTTTAATTTCAAATTAATTGAGAGGAGTCTGCATTGCCTGAAGAAAATCTCGTAATACTACTAAATTATTTCCTAAAATCACAGATACAGGCACGGAGTTTTACTTTGTTATGTATTAAATGTTTTCTTCTTTGCCAAGAATTATCAAAAATTTAGGTTAAAAATAAAAGAATGCCAATCAAGGTGTGTTATGAAGATAATAAGACAGGACATGGAAACTTGTATAGTTTCCCTGACAAAACGTGATGACTGTATTTGTTATCCAGAGGGTGGCTTAATATGTGTAGTGACTTAAGATATGGTTTGAACACTATAGCCTAATTCACCTCTGTCCATCTCTCAGAACTTTAGATTGTGACCACCTCAGGAACAGGGAGTAGGGCCTGTTAAATTTTATTTCCCCAGAGCTTAACACAGTAACTTTCATTTTACCACTAACAACAAAACACTTAATATTAGTTAAATAAAAAAAGAAAGGAAAAGAAGGAAGGAGAGAAAGGAAGAAAGGGAAAAAAAGAAGGTAGAAAGGAGGAAGGAAGAAATAAAGAGAAAGGAAAGAAGGAAGGAAGGGAGTGAGGGAGGGAGAGAGAAAGAGAGAAAAAGAATACTATTGCTATTAGAAAAAAAAAAAAACAATGACATAGCCCCAAGGTATACAGTAAAACTATGAACTTAATCAAAGCAAATGCTTAAATTAGTACTAATCACCCATAGGTGTGTACTGGCAGAGCCATAAGGATACTGATGAAGCGACTAGTCAGTGGTTGTTAGACTTGGCTGAATTGTAGGGCCACCCATGGAGCTTATACTGATACGCAGGCCCTACTTCAAAGCAGTCACATCAGAATTCTGTGTTTGGGGACCAGGCATTGGTAGTTCTCAAAGCTCCCTAGGTGACTCTATTGTGCAAACAGGTTTGAGAACCTAAACTTAAACTTGCTATTAAAAAAAAAGCTTAGAAGTGTTTTGCTGTATGTCACTCTCTTACTTTCACATGGATGTTCTTTTCTGATATAATTCCTGCTCAGCAATGAGCAAAGTATTAGTGTTATTTTACTTATTTTAGAAGATCTTGTTCCTGTTCATGTTTCAAATGCTGTCTGATTTTTCCTAATCATCTGTTTCAGAACAAGTATTTCCTTTGCTCCTTCCTGTGAGAATTCACATGTGTCACTATAAAACAGTGATCTGAAGAGTAATACATATGTAAGAAGAAGGAAATTAAGTCATTTTCTGCAGGATTCCAAAACCTTACATAAACCCTCTTTTTGCACCTAAAGCTGGTGAAGAGGTTATCCTGTCAATGTCCACCAGAGAATTAGACCCAAGCCTGCAATCTGAGAATTTGAGGGTCTAAAGAGTGGAGTTCTCCCTCACACATTTTAGTTTGTCTTCTACCATGCAAAGATTACTTTGATTTCACTTTGTTAAATGGCAGGCCTTCAGACAAATTTGCACCTCTGTGTTTTGGAAGCATGTGTATGGTAATTCTTGGAGTATAAATGGATATGTTTCATGTAAAGTTCTAACTATTAGTTACTGGTGGGTTGCCAGATTAAAATTTTCTTCAAGTATAAACAAAGTATCCATGGACTGAACTTGAAATACAGGAAATATAGGAAAAGTAATTCTAATCTAATAAATACAAACCTCAATTCCGAAGCAAATTGTTGACAGACAAATACTAGACTGTATAAATTTATGTCTTTATATAGAATTTTAAAAAATATTTTGCAGAGTTGACTTTCTCCTTATAAAAATTATTTGTACAAAATTATGATTTAACAATAGCAATTACATAAAGATATTTTCCGGATATAATGATGTTTATCAGAGTATCTTAGAGAGAGTTGGTTTTCAACCGCATCAGAATTAATGCTCCAATTTTAAAACATATATTTTACCACCCTGGAAAAATTATTAAGTAATATAATCTTACTTCAACGTAATTATGCATGTATGCTAATACCCTAAGTGAAATGTAAAAATATAAATAAATTCATAATAAAAATAATATATATTTGTCCTCAGCATAACCACACTAGAAGTCCTGATGACTGTATTCAGAATTGTTCTTAAATCATATATACAAATGTTCCCTGAAACAGCTGCGCTGTTTTGGTATTAATTATGTTTAGTGTAGTCACAGATTACATGATTTTCTAAAGATGAGCTATTGTGCTCAATCTTCCCTTGAAAATGAATTTATTCACTTCTAGACTGGATAGTCGCCTATAAGAATATCCAGTGAGATAATTAAAATTTTTGCAGAGAACATGAGAAGTATTTGCTGTGTGACACTGTCCTATGAAGAACATTAATGATTCCTCCCACTAAATACTAACAGTGCCTTCTGATCATTCTGGCAACAAAAATGTCATTCAATATTTCCCAAATACTTCCTTGGGGTGATACAACTACCATTGGAAATCATTGATATAGACTTTTCCTTTGTTTCAAATGAACAAATATCTGTCAAATATGGACCAAACTAGGTTTGAAAAATGAAAAAGAAAACATCTCAAATTAGGTATGGTCACTTTAAATATAGCAAACTCTCCAATCTGCAAGCTCCTGTTGCTTTCATGTTGGCTCTACTTGTCTTAAGTTCCTATTGCACCTTCCTAAATTAGTATTCCTTCCTGCCCATTGCCCTTTTACTTCAATCATGAGTCCCACTGCTTCCTTGGCCTATGTTTAAGTCTTGATTTTCCTTTTAGCTGTGTACTTAATAATATTATTTAACATCTTTGATTCTCAGTTTCCTCATATAGAGATAATAACAGTACTTATAGGGTTGTTATGAAGCTAAATATGAAAAAAAGGCTTCTAAGTGTACAACTCAAAATAAAAGCAAGAACAAACTTTTACTTGCCCATTCTAGGCAGAAGAAACTGACATTTGAGAAGGGAGGATTTGATACTTGAGTTCCTCTTAGAGTAGTCAAGGGGGATGTTTGAGCAGTCATCAGTATGCAATTGATCCAATTGTCCCTTAGAACTGATGTGTATGGTTTCTTTATAGTAAAAATAGAGATTTGACCCTGCCGGTCTTAAAACTTGAGAAACTTAAATTTGTCTTAACTGAGCTCCTTTCTCAGGAAACAAACCATCAGTCCTCCCAGACAGTATTAAGGAACTGAAGCTAACCAAATCACCACATCTGGACAATGACACATCAGACTCGTTATCCATCCTGATTGCCTAATCTACAACCTGCTTTTTGTTGACCAACTCATCTTCCTTGTCTTTCCATAATTTCTATTTTCCCACACATAGTTACATTTCTTCCCTGCTATAGAAATACCTAATTTTAGTCAGTTGAGAAGATGGATTTGAGACTGATCTCCCATTTTCCTTGGCTGCAGCACCTGAATACAGCTTTCTTTCCTGGCAATACTTGTTGACTTAGTAATTGGCTTTCTGTGTGTGAGCAACAGTACCTAGACTGAACCCCTGGCATTTAAGTAACAAGTACATAGACATGCATGAGAAAGCAAATAAAAATGATCAGAACACAGAAAGGCAGTTATACATTATGAATACTTAATGGCATGCATCAATTTCAGAAAGTCTACAAAAGTAATAGACTTGCCACTGGGACTTTAATAATTAGCCAAATTCATTAGGCAAAATGGTACCTTCACTGCAAATAGCTTTGATAATCATTGCCAAACTTTGCCTCTCCTTGTTCTACACTTCAATTGTTGACCTGCTCCACCGTTAATTAACACATATTATCTTTACTGTGTGTCTTTGAAAAACATTCAGAAGACAATTGCTTTTCTTCTTATGTTCAAAGGGAGTTCTCTCTGCCTCTCCCTATATACTGGCTACAGGTATTATTGTCCAGTTATTTACAGGAGGAAACAGTGGTTAAAAATCTTAACACTTAACTTCATTCTTTATTAATTCAGCTATACGGTATTAGTATTGTAACAGTTATGGCAACTTTCATTTCTTCAGGCTTTTCATTTACTCTATGCCAGCTATTGTGCTATTTTGTGCTTAGGACAGTGGGTTTCAAACTTTAGAATACATCAGAATCATCAAAATATTTATTAACACACAGATTCCTAAGCCTCACCTCCAGAGTTTTTAATTCAGCAAGTCGAATGAGGCCTAGTAATTTGCTTTTCCAGCCAGTTCTCAGGTGATACTGTCGTTACTGGCCTAAGCATCATAATTCAAAAACCACCGTACTAGTGTTACCAAAACACCAGAGGTCTGGTCTAGGTCCTACTGCTTGCCACAAAGAAAGCCAATCACTGAGACAATGACTACTGCCAATGAAAAAAGCTTTAATTGGGTGCTGCAGCCAAGGAGATGGGAGCTCATTCTCAAATCCGTCTCCCTGACTGACTAAAATTAGGGGGTTTATATAGCGGGGAAGAAATGTAACAATGTGTAAGAAAAATAGAAAATAGGGAGAGGCAAGGAAGTAATCATGATAAATGAGAAGTCCAGTATCTCATGGTCTGGATGTAATGATCTGGTGAGTTTTAGTTCTTTGATACTTTTTTGAGAGGCCTGAGGATCATTTCTTGAGGAAAGACCTCAGATAAAATAAATATAACTTTCAAGCTTTAAGAACAGAAGGGTCGATTTCTATGTTTATTAAAAAACAAAAATAAAAACAAATTATCTATGGAACTGTTGTGTCAGTTTCAGTCCCTCTTTTCTATTTATAAATTCCTTAGTCATGGGGAATCTGGTCTTGATCTTTCTGGCTGCTTCATGCTGAGGGAGGGGTGTTGTAGGCATCTCAATACCATAGGTGACCACGTGGCCACTCAGGAATCAAAGGTTAATCTAATACTAGAGCTTTCTTCTGAAACAGAGTATTTCTCTCTCCAGTCTCCCACTTCCACCAAAGACAAATCGCAGCAGAACCAAACTACCTGCAAAATTAGCTTCAGTCCCATATGCTTGGCCTGATTACCCACACAAAGTGCAACAGTAATCATTGCCCAATAGGTTCTGCTAAACTGGCTTTGCTGGAACCTCTCACAAGGCCATTCCAGTCAAAGCCCTGGAAAAATAACCAGTTCCTCCAACTGTGTCCCATTATACAAGAAAACAGATTCTCTCTTTTTTTTTTTTTTTTTGAGATGGAGTCTCCCTCTATCGCCCAGGCTGGAGTGCAGTGGTGCGATCTCAGCTCACTGCAAGCTCCGCCTCCTGAGTTCACACCATTCTCCTGCCTCAGCCTCCCCAGTAGCTGGGACTACAGACACCCGCCACCATGCCTTGCGAATTTTTTTGTATTTTTAGTAGAGACGGGGTTTCACAGTGTTAGCCAGGATGGTCTCCATCCCCTGACCTCGTGATCTGCCCACCTCGGCCTCCCAAAGTGCTGGTATTACAGGCATGAGCCACTGTGCCCGGCCGAGAAAATAGATTCTTATTAAACTTATGCAAATAAATACATTGCCATGAATTAAGAATTTCACAAATGATTAATGAATTCTGGATAAATTGGACCAAGAGAGAAAAATATATGACTCAAATTCTGTTTACAAACATATACTCTACTCAGTACACTTAAAGTATTTTAAGGCTATGAATAGCATAAAGAAAACAATTCCCCAGACTCTGAAACATAAAACAAAAGGAATCAGCAATATTTCAAACAAAAAGGCTATACAAATGATTTCAGTCCTCCATTAGTTCAGTCCACACAGTTAACTCCTGCTTTGCTTCATATTTGATTAGCAACCTTTATGAACATATCAGCCTTTCAATTAGCACTCTGCTCTCTAATCCAATGGCACAATCTCCAATGTTATCAGAAACCCACGCTAAAGAGTCCTTTTCAAGAATTCCCCTGAAAAAGCAAGCTCTAGACAGTAGCTGATTATAAATCACTTTTTTGAGAAGGATCAAAGCAAAACATCAGTTATGGATGACAAATGTCTTAGGACAGCCATAGTCAAAGACACAGTTGACAATAAAATTTGGTTATTTCTATGGTATACAACAATTTAACATAATAATCATAATTATTACCAATAACATACATACGTATCAGAATTTCAGGAATGTCATATAATCCTGAAACACATGTTAACAACATATCTATATAAATATAGCCAAAAAAAGTTAAGTACCATCTCACATTTAATAATGATTCCTGTATAATCCTAACATAACAAATAAGCTTAATAAGCATAATATATCTCTCTTGGACTTCAGGGATACTAACATTCAAAAAATAGTTTTAGGTAAAAAAGACTGAATTTAGAACTTTAAATTTTGCTCTTGAAAAGTATGACAAATATCAAAAGTTTAAGACACTTGATATTAAAAATAAGGTTACAGGTTACTATAAAATAGTCATTCATTTAGCCAAAATGATAATACAAAAATATTTACTCTTTGATAAAGAGGAGACTCAGTTTCCTAAACAATGCTACTTAATAAATACAGCTTGAGGCCAGCTATATCTGTCTCTTTCCCCCAATTTGTCCTCTGCAGTTTACTCCAAAGGTAAACAAAACTCTTATACTATCTCTTACATGAAAAATTTTGTACAAAAGAGAAAAACCATATTTTACCTTTGTATGGTGTATTAATGTTAAAGCTAATTTTAATAAAACCTTATAAAAATTTATCTAATTTTAATCAGTTTGACCATAAGGTAAGATTTCCATCAACCTTTTATAACATTTTACAATGTTCTATTAAAGAGCATGATCCAAGAAAACCCTATTATTCTGACACATGGGCCCAGATGCTGGCCTTCTATTAGGGTGCTTTTGATATTAATGTTTAACATATAGAAAAACTCTGAACTAATCTTATTCCTCAAAATTGGCCCTTGCAATCTCATGTGCCCACCTCTTCTATAATAGTCCCTGAGTATAGAGGGACTGAATAGTTTTAATTTCTGTCTCACAAAAGCAGTTCATGTTGATTGTCACTCTTCCATGAGTCTAAAGATGAGGCTTCAACTGGTATCAATGCTCAAAATTTAGCAGGGGTTTGTGCCTCCTTCAGACCCAGGAGTCAAAGCCCTGTAACATAACAGCACAAAAATTAGTTAATAGAATATTTATATTACAGAATGTCCTAACATTCTTTCTAATATGTTCAAAATTAAAACATTGTGATTTGGTGTTTAAGAGTTACTGCCTGCAACACTTCAAATCACTGTATTCAAGTAGTTAGGTTACTCATTGCACATGTCTAATTGCCAGCATTCTAGTGACAGACTGTGACTAAAAGCATCAAAAAGTGATATGTTGTATGCCAAACTTATGAAAGGAAGACAACTAACTTTTGTCTCCATCAAAAAATGATAAATGCAAATATTAGTTCTGAAAGTTCAATATGAAGGTAATCTTTCACTTAAGTAATAGACAATAAAACAGAGACAAAGTAAGAACCAGCACACAATAATTTCTTTTCACCTATTTAAAAGAGTATCATCACACATTTCCAAGATTGGTTTCTAGATACAGTACTGACAACTGATGAGGTAACTTTGGCTACCAAAATCTTCAAACTAGTGCAACACTTATACATATTTTGTTTTCAAGTGCACACATGAAGGCCCATCAGTGATAAACGGCTTGGGATCAAAGATCACTAGAAAGTCTCACATTTTTTAAATTACTACTTAATCCAAGTGAATGCCATTTAATTTTAATAATAGTAAACACAACTAAGGTAGTTTGAGAGAAATTCCAATTAATATAATTGTCTTAAGGACAAGGCCAATCTTTCCTGAACATTAAAACTTTGTATCCATATCACAATTTTTCCTCATTAAAGAAAAATATCTAAAACTAACTAAACACCATTTAAGCACTGCTACTATCATCCACTTTTCCAAATAACAAAATATATAATGTTCTTATTTCTGTTCAGAACTTTTTATAATAATTCTCTTTTTTTTGGCTAGGAAACTTAAAGCTCTTGTAGCTCTCTAGATTATCAGAGGTAAGGAAAATCAAATTTTAAGTGGCTGGTGTGCTCCATCAGTTTTTGCAGGCTTGACAGAGGTAGCTTAGGAATTCTAGATAAATAAAACAAATGATGACTTGTTAGAAATGCATAGGAAACAAAAACTATTCACAGAACCAAATAAAAGTCTTCCATTAGGAACTAAAAAAAGTCAATGGTTTATATGTATGTATACATAAGTAAAACTCAAAGCAGAACAAATGGCAAATAAATAAAAAATTAGAAGTAAAAGCAAACAGGAAACCCACCTCAATTTTTTCTCCTACTAAGTTTACCTTGGATGCTACAGTGTTACCCAGAGCCTATTAAAAAAGATAACATTTTATTCCTGAAACACAATTTAATATTTTTAGGTCCACCAATATAATGATACATATTTTTGCAATTAAGAAATTCACTTTAGGTACATGACCAGTAAGCACTTTAGTGCTAGTACTGTCTGTGCAAAATAGCAAATAGTACTATATATAGTATGAAGCAATGCAAGCATGTGTATGAAATTTGGTTCCACACTACATCTGGCTTCATGATTAACTATATTTTAAAAAATGCAAAACTGCCAATGCATTTCTTTACAATATTTCTTATTTTATCTTCATCAAGACTAAGAGCTTTAAATACGAAAATGTTAATTAGGCAAATTTTTAAAAAGTTAGCCAAATTTCTCCAATTTTTCAGGTTTTAAAGAATATTTTATTATCTAAACTGTTTCAACTTTCTATTTTCTCTTTGGTTCATGAAGATACACACACAGAGAAACAGTAAAAACTACATGTGACTTACACAGACTGTCCACAACATGCCTAGGCTTTCTGTTCAGTCCCAGATTTTCTTCTTCTTCCTCTTATTTTTTCTTTAAATAACCAGTCATTTTACCCCAGGACAAAAAAAATTTACCCTACAAAGTATTTTCTCATCAAAGATTATCTTTCCTTTATAGCCTTCCTTACAAAAAATCTTCATATATATAACTTTCTTTACATCTCTCTCCCGACTTACTGGTTCCTTACTACCTTGTTTCATAAATGCCTTTTTCAAGTTTATAATTTGAATTAACTTCTAGATAACTTCTGAATTAGATAAAATTATTCTTTTCCTTCTTCCACCTCAGATATCACCATGAGAAAAGCTTTCACCAGGTGTTGTACCTTCAGCCAGGGTCCCAAATGAGACATGTCACATGGAGTTGAGTTACCCAAGCCCAGCCTAGATTATCTGACTTGCAGGTTTGTGAACTGCACCATCCAACTACAGATTGGATGAAATAAACATTTATTTTAACAATATGTCTTGGGGAAATAGCCAATGAGTAAAAGAGATATTCCCATTCTTTTCAGAGTTATCTGCCAAGGGCTCAAGTTCAACCATGTACTATAATAACAGATGAAATTTTGCTCTCTTTTTCCCACCGTTTGATTCTTTACAGAGAGTTAAACCTCACAGATCCCCAGGAATGAGAAGATAGGACAGAGTCAGGCAAATGAACAGCCCTGGGTAGTCTCCAATATGTCAAGAGAAGCCGCCTCCCTGGGCTAACTCCTTAATGTAGAGATTAGTTCTGTTTTGGCAAGTTGGACTTGAGTGTTTGGAAGAAAATTTTTAATATTGTTTGTAATTTTATTTAAAATATTTAAAATATGGTTTGTATAATATATATGCATGTGTAGGTTTTCAATCTATACTCTGGAGATCATTAGTGAACCCTTGAGGCCCCCTTATCAAGAGTATATAATAAAGGGTGTAGTTATGTAACAATCAGAGTCTTTATTCAGAAATTCAGGCTCCAGAAGTGTCCTTCAACTGTATATTTGATCAGCACCAGATGGTTCATTAGTTAGTATAATGTTAGGAATAATTTTAATTACGGACTTGAGTGGTGTTTAATATATGTGGATTTGTTAGAATATTGTCTATCTTTATGCCTTTGCATGAATCAAGAGAGGAGGTCTAGAGAAGCAAGAAAAATCCTGTACCTTTTAGAGTGGTGACCTCAGTCTAGGATTATGTCTGGTTCATGTGTTCGGTCACCTCTGGAGGAATCTGAATGTCTGATTTTCATGGAGATTTGAGGCAAAATTTACTGAAATCCCTGAAAGGACAAAGTTATGCTTACTTTCTCATAAATTGCTGTGTGTAGGCTTATACTATTTATGACTTGTAACATACCACTTGTTGGTGATTCCTGGGAGAGGAGACCTAGAGAGATTTTTTTATCTACAACTGTTGGAAGCAACCAATATCTACCAAAACAACCTCGTATTCAGGTATAACCAAATTGCCTTACTTACAATGTCTTCTTACAGAGATGGAATTAAAAGCTAATTGTAAGTAGAATAAATAAATAAAGGGAAGTCTATTCCTTTAATGAAATTCTATTTGGCAACATAACATATTGCTATGTGCAAAAATCAGGGTGAATATCAAAAATATTATGTTCAGGTGTACATTTCATATTAAAGTATTTTTCGGTATATGTGTTCTACCTAAATTTTAAAAATAACTGAGCAGAGAGATGGCAAGATTATAGGCAGATATCCAGGGCATGCTGGAATTGTCCTACCTATACAGAACTGTGATCCTTGTCCAGAAATTCTCCTTTTTTGAATCAAATTCTAGACTCCAGGTTGTCCCCTACTTATTATTTCTTTAATTTTGAAACTCTGAGGAACTTGATGTATTCATTTAAGAAGAAAAATATCTGCACTTTAGGAAGGGCCACACTTTTGTACAATTCCAGGGGTGCTTTTCAAAAGACTGTGAAGTGAATGAAGATCTCCTGCTAGAATTTTGCTGTGAGAGTTGACACATCTCCACACTATCATCCTGAAGCTGACTCAGAGAGGTGAAGTGACTTAGATAAAGTCATGTATATGGCTAACCACAACACCTGATGAGAACCTAGAATGACTTCTACTTGCAGTGTATTCTAATATGAAATTTTCTCACTTTTTAATTTTGGATGGTTTAAGTTATTTTTTCATTGTCTATTATGGAAAGTAAATTTAACATAAGTAATATTTTACTGCAATATTTTTTAAGTAGATGAGAATTTAAAGTAAAATTTTAGGTGTTTTACAAAGTTTATTGTCTATTTTAAATTCTACAATTAGAATTTAAGTTATGGAAAATGTATGAATAAGTACATAATTTATAAACAATAATTATATTTATAATCCATACTTTTAAAAGTTTAGTCAACTATTTCCAGTCTTAGCCTTTAGTTTTTCTTATATCCTTTGCTCTCTTGTCTGTATTTATGTTCTTTAGAATTCTGAGGTTCCCTCCTGGATCATTTCTCTTATTAGTATTTCAAGACAGGTTTGCATAGCTCCAGCTTGCATCACAGTGAAGTGAATATTGATGCTAATATTGCCCGCTTTGGCTTAGTCAATCAGAATACTGCAACACCAAAATTTAAGGGAGTTAAAGAGTATCTAGAGAGAATGCAGAGCAGAAAAACAAGGATAAATAGTATTTCTTTAAATGTGTGAAGAAAGTTTAAAGAAATTAACATGATTTATCCAGAAGAGGAGAAGTTCAGGTCAGGATTCTGATTTGTTTTTATTCGAATAGGATTTTTTGTTGATCTGTCTAATGTTGACAGTGGGGTGTTAAAGTCTCCCATTGTTATTGTGTGGGAGTCTAAGTCTCTTTGTAGGTCACTCAGGACTTGCTTTATGAATTTTGGTACTCCTGTATTGGGTGCATATATATTTAGGATAGTTAGCTCTTCTTGTTGAATTGATCCCTTTACCATTATGTAATGGCCTTCTTTGTCTCTTTTGATCTTTGTTGGTTTAAAGTCTGTTTTATCAGAGACTAGGATTGCAACCCCTGCCTTTTTTTGTTTTCCATTGGCTTGGTACATCTTCCTCCATCCTTTTATTTTGAGCCTATGTGTGTCTCTGCACATGAGATGGGTTTCCTGAATACAGCACACTGATGGGTCTTGACTCTTTATCCAGTTTGCCAGTCTGTGTCTTTTAATTGGAGCATTTAGTCTATTTACATTTAAAGTTAATATTGTTATGTGTGAATTTGATCCTGTCATTATGATGTTAGCTGGTTATTTTGCTCGTTAGTTGATGCAGTTTCTTCCTAGTCTCAATGGTCTTTACATTTTGGCATGATTTTGCAGCAGCTGGTACCGGTTGTTCCTTTCCATGTTTAGTGCTTCCTTCAGGAGTTCTTGTAAGGCAGGCCTGGTGGTGACAAAATCTATCAGCATTTGCTTGTCTGTAAAGGATTTTATTTCTCCTTCACTTATGAAGCTTAGTTTGGCTGGATATGAAATTCTGGGTTGAAAATTCTTTTCTTTAAGAATGTTGAATATTGGCCCCCACTCTCTTCTGGCTTGTAGGGTTTCTGCTGAGAGATCCGCTGTTAGTCTGATGGGCTTCCCTTTGTGGGTAACCCGACCTTTCTCTCTGGCTGCCCTTAACATTTTTTCCTTCATTTCAACTTTGGTGAATCTGACAATTATGTGTCTTGGAGTTGCTCTTCTCGAGGAGTATCTTTGTGGTGTTCTCTGTATTTCCTGAATTTGAATGTTGGCCTACCTTGCTAGATTGGGGAAGTTCTCCTGGATAATATCCTGCAGAGTATTTTCCAACTTGGTTCCATTCTCCCCGTCACTTTCAGGTACACCAGTCAGACGTAGATTTGGTCTTTTCACATAGTCCCATATTTCTTGGAGGCTTTGCTCATTTCTTTTTATTCTTTTTTCTCTAAACTTCCCTTCTCGCTTCATTTCATTAATTTCATCTTTCATTGCTGATACCCTTTCTTCCAGTTGATCGCATCGGCTCCTGAGGCTTCTGCATTCTTCACGTAGTTCTCGAGCCTTGGTTTTCAGCTCCATCAGCTCCTTTAAGCACTTCTCTGTATTGGTTATTCTAGTTATACATTCTTCTAAATTTTTTTCAAAGTTTTCAACTTCTTTGCCTTTGGTTTGAATGTCCTCCCGTAGCTCAGAGTAACTTGATCGTCTGAAGCCTTCTTCTCTCAGCTCGTCAAAGTCATTCTCCATCCAGCTTTGTTCCGTTGCTGGTGAGGAACTGCGTTCCTTTGGAGGAGGAGAGGCGCTCTGCTTTTTAGAGTTTCCAGTTTTTCTGTTCTGTTTTTTCCCCATCTTTGTGGTTTTATCTACTTTTGGTCTTTGATGATGGTGATGTACAGATGGGTTTTTGGTGTGGATGTCCTTTCTGTTTGTTAGTTTTCCTTCTAACAGAGAGGACCCTCAGCTGCAGGTCTGTTGGAATACCCTGCCGTGTGAGGTGTCAGTGTGCCCCTGCTGGGGGGTGCCTCCCAGTTAGGCTGCCCAGGGGTCAGGGGTCAGGGACCCACTTGAGGAGGCAGTCTGCCCCTTCTCAGATCTCCAGCTGTGTGCTGGGAGAACCACTGCTCTCTTCAAAGCTGTCAGACAGGAACATTTAAGTCTGCAGAGGTTACTGCTGTCTTTTTGTTTGTCTGTGCCCTGCCCCCAGAGGTGGAGCCTACAGAGTCAGGCAGGCCTCCTTGAGCTGTGGTGGGCTCCACTCAGTTCGAGCTTCCCGGCTGCTTTGTTTACCTAATCAAGCCTGGGCAATGGCAGGCGCCCGTCCCCCAGCCTCGCTGCCACCTTGCAGTTTGATCTCAGACTGCTGTGCTAGCAATCAGCGAGACTCTGTGGGCGTAGGACCCTCCGAGCCAGGTGCGGGATATAATCTCGTGGCGCACCGTTTTTTAAGCCCTTCGGAAAAGCGCAGTATTCGGGTGGGAGTGACCCGATTTTCCAGGTGCCTGTCCATCACCCCTTTCTTTGACTCAGAAAGGGAACTCGCTGACCCGTTGCGCTTCCCAAGAGAGGCAATGCCTCGCCCTGCTTCGGCTCGCGCACGGTGCACGCACCCACTGACCTGCCCCACTGTCTGGCACTCCCTAGTGAGATGAACCCGGTACCTCAGATGGAAATGCAGAAATCACCCGTCTTCTGCGTCGCTCACGCTGGGAGCTGTAGACCGGAGCTGTTCCTATTCGGCCATCTTGGCTCCTCCCCCCTGGGTATACAAGTTACTGTTGTAAGTTTTCATTTTTAAATAATTTTAGGTTTATAGAGCAGTTGTAAAAGTAGTTAAGAAAACCCTTAGACACTCTTCACTCAGATTCCTCCAGTGTTAGCTTCCCAAATAACCACAGTATGATTGTCAAAACTAAGAAATTAACATTGTACAATAAAAGTGAATAGACTACAGACTTTATATTTCACCAGTCTTTCTACTAATGTTCTTTTTCTGTTTCAGAATGTAATCCGACATCCTACACTGATTGAATTTAGTTGTCCTGTTTACCTAGTTTCCTCCAATATGTGTTAGTTCCTTAATTCTTCCTTGTCTTTTATGACCCTGACTCATTTGATGAATAGTAGATAAGTACCTTGTAAACTGTCCTTCAATATGAATTTGTCTCATGTGTACTCATGATTAAATTGAGACCATGGTTTTTTGTTTTTTTTTCCAGAAGAATACCACATTGTTATATCAGGAGACACATGACAACAAGATATCCTATTATGGGGTTGTTAAACTTGATCACCTTGTCAAGGTGGTGGCCAACAGGTTCCTCCACTATAATGTTACAGTTTTTCCTTTTGTAATTAACAAATATCTGGAGAGAGAAAATTTGAGACTATGCAAACATTCTGTTTCTGCTTAAAATTTTACCCACTGATTTTAACATTTATCAGTGTATCTTCACTGCAGTAATAATCACATAGGTTTTCAACAGTAATTTTTATTTTTTCTTGTCATCCATATTTGTTATTTGGAATTATTCTCTAGGGACTAATTATCCCTTATTCTCCACTTGTTTACTCATTCAACCACTTATTTATATTGGCATGGTCTCATGGATATTTATTTTATTCTTCAGGTTTGTATGAGTTAGGATTCTCTAGAGAAACATAACTAATGACAAAGATGGAGAGAAAGAGAGGGAGGGAGGAGAAAGAGATTTATTTATTAAAATGTATTGACTCACATGATTATGGAGATTAACAAGTCCCAAGATCTGCAATCATCAAGCTGGAGACCCTTGAAAGCCAAAGGTGTCATAGCAGTTTAATTCTGAAAATCTGAGAACCAGGAAAGCTGATGATGTAATTTCTAGTCCAAATGCTGGCAGGATTGATATAGGAAAAAGTGCCATTTCAGTTTAAGTCTAAAAGCGAAAAAAAAAATCCTGCTTACTCCTTAGGGGATCAGCTTTTTGTTCTATTCAGGCCTTCAACTGATTGGATGAAGCCCACCCACACTAGGAAGAAAAAATTGTTTTACTCAGTCTACTGATTCTAATGGTAACATCATCCAGAATCACCCTCACAGATGCACTCAGAATAATGTTTGACCATTAATCTGGCACGCAGTGTCCCAGTCAAATTGACACAATAAATTTACCATCTCAGGGTTAGAGGCTAGCACTATTTAATTATTTTGTGCAAAATTGTTCTAGCTTTGGATATTTGGGTCTCTTTTTATTTGATTCTTCTTTCCTTTTTACTTGCCCAAACTTATGTTTTAGCACTTTCCAACTTTCTGATGCCACAGAAAGCTCTATGGTTAACTTCTATTTTCTCTTTCTTTGTCCTAGAACTAGCCACATCTCTAAGGAGCTCTCATTCCTGTTAATGAAGAATGATATTTACAAACCAAAATCCAGGAACTAGGTATGCTCATTACTGCTGGGGTATACTTCTTTTAGGCTCTCTTATTGGACAAAGCTGGGTCATATTTCTTTTTGTACGACCCATTTATATACATGTATCTGTTATCTGTATTCATTTTTATATCTTTCTATTTCTTTCAATCTATATATCCATGAGGCAAAAATGATACCTTCATCTTCAATTAAGCAGCACGTTTCATCTTGGCGTTATCTCCTGTTTCTCTGACAGTGAGAAAGTGGCTCTCATTTACTTCAATATATTTACTTACTTCTTCAAATATGATTTATATTTAGAGTTATTTCAGAATTGTTAACCCTCACCATTATGAGAAAAAATATTGTCAATGTGTAGTCCATTTTCATTACTATAAAGTAATACCTGAAACTGGGTAATTTACAAAGAAAAGTGATTTCATTGGCTCACAATTCTGTAGGCTATATGGAAGACATGATACCAGCATCTGCTCCTGGTGAGAACCTCAGGAAGCTTTTAGTCATGGCAGAAGGCAAAGGGGAAGCTGGCATATCACATGATGAGAGTGGGAACAAAGGAGAGAGAGGAGGGAGGTGCCAGTTTCTTTTAAAACAACCACATCTCATGTGAACTCATTGAGCAATAACTCCTCCCTCATCACCAAGGAGATGGTGCTAAGCCATTCACAAGGGTTCTGCCCCCATGACCCAGACATCTTTCAAAAGGCCTCACTTCCAACACTAGGGATTACATTTCAACATGAGATTTGGAGGGGACAAACATTCAAACTGTATTAGTCTATTCTCCTGCTGCTAATAAGACATACCTGAGACTGGCTAATTTGTAAAGGAAAGAGGTTTAATTGACTCACAATTTCACATAGCTGGGGAGGCTACACAATCATGGCTGAAGGCAAATGAGGAGCAAAGTCATGTATTACATGGCAGGAGGCAAGAGAGCATGTGCAGGGGAGCTCCCCTTTATAAAACCATCAGATCTCGTGAGACTTATTCAGTATCATGAGAACAGCACAGGAAAGACCCGCCCTCATGATTCAATTACCTGGCCCCCACAACCGGGTCCCTCCCATGACACGTGGAAATTATGGGAGCTACAATTCAAGATGAGATTTTGGTGGGGACACAGTAAAACCATATCTCAAATTACACCAATTAAATAGAATACAATGTTTGCATACTAATATGTTTTGTCTTTAGCCTTACAATATCCAGTCAGATCAATGTTATTTTTTTAAGTTACACAGGGCAGCTTATTTCTTCATCACTCCATTCACCATGATCATTTCAATTATGTGCAATATACATAGATTCATTTGTCATAGTCTGCATTCAATTTTGGTTTTGCATAATATTCAAGTTGATTATTTTTAATCTGCATATAAAAATTTACGCTTTGTTGTAGGAAGTTTTATGAGTTTAGACAAATATCTAGCATTTCACCAGCACAATGCAACACAGAACAAGCCCATCATCTCAAAATTTCCCTTGTTATGCCTCTCTGTAGTCAAACACTCCCCACACCACAAAACTGGCAACCACTTACCTGCTTTCAGGGTCCATGGTTTTACTTTTTTCACACTGTCATGTAAGTAAAAAAAATACATTATGTAGCATTTTAGGTTTGGCTTTTTCACTCAGTACAATACATTTAGGATTCACCCATATTGTTGCATAAATCAAGATTCAGGAAGAGGCCAGAAGCCATAGAACACAGGCAGATTTGTATGCTGGAAAAAACAAAGGGAATGAATTTTACACTAGGACCTCAAGAAGTGATGTAGTGCACTCAAATTGTTTTTAGTTCAGTGAAACTCATTTTGGACTTCTGACTTCCAGAAGTGTGAAATAGTAAATCTGTGCTGTGCTGTTTTAAACTACTTAATTTTTGATAATGTGTTAATCAGAAAATAATAAGGCTGTCCTTAGATTTCTGGCCCCAGAAGGAAAGAGGTAATAAATGAGTGTAGTTTAAACCATGGAGTTTGTGATACTTTGTTATGCAGCATACAAAACTAATACAAAAGGGCTGAACATATTTAAAGAAATAATGGCTTAACAATTCTCAAATTTAATGATTAACATTAATTTATACATTCAAGAAGCTCGACAAACTCCTAGTAGGATAATTTTTTAAAAATCCATACCTATCATAGTAAAACTATTGAAAGCCAAAGTCAGAGATAATTTTATAAACAGCCAACAAAAAGTGACTCCTCACATATGACGGAATTGCAATGATTCCGTCAATGATTGCAATGATTGCAATGAGAATAACAGGTGGTTCCCTATAAAAAACAAAGGTGCTAGAATGCAGGGGGATGACCTACAAAGAGTGTTAAAAACAAAAACAAAACGAGACAAACAACAAAAGAAATTAAACTTGTCAAACAGCCAAGAATTCTATACTCAGAAAAAGTATCCTTCAAAATGATGGAGGGTGAAATAAAGATATTTGCAGATAAAGGGTGAAAGAATTTCTTGTTAGTAGACTTGCTATACAAGAAATAATAAAGGAAGTTCTTCAGAATAAAAATAAGTGATCCCAGACAACAATTCATATTCACATGAGAAAAAATAAGAGTGCTGGAAGGTAATTATGCAAATGGCTAGAAAAGACAGTATAATTATATACTTTTATCTTTTCTTAACTGATTTGAAAAGCAGTTGTTAAAACAATAATTATTAAAGTGTATTGCTGGGCTTATAACATAGACATGTATGTATGAAAAAAACAGCCCAGAGAAAGGGGTAATAAATGTAGCTATACTGTAACCAGGCAGCAACAACAAATGATATCTTGAATCCATAAGAACAGATGAAGAGTGACAGAAAGGATAAATAAGCAGGAGATATATATATATATGTATATATATATATGTATATATATGTATATATATATATGTATATATATGTATATATATGTGTGTGTATATATATACACATATGTGTATATATATACATATCTGTATATATATATACATATGTGTGTATATATATATATATAATTTTACTCCTTCCTTATCTTGTGCTTTCTTAAAAGACATGCAAGTATATAAAGCAAAAATCACAATGCTGTACTGTTGGGTTTTTAACATAAATCTATATGATATATATAACAATAATGGCAAAAATGAGTGGGGAGAGAATGTAACTGTTGAACCAATGTTATTCATATATCTCCTAGAATTAAGTTGAAATAATTCTGAAAAGATTCTCATTCTGATAAGATATATATTATAATTTGCAGAACAGAACTATTTTTTAAATTTCAAAAAATATAATTAGTCAACTCTCACTTTCAACTCCAACATGTAAAGAGCTTGGAAGCTGTCACTCCTGTACTTGCAACAAGAAAAGGCTTTACAAACTAAAAAATCTGTGATTTTTCCTTGGATCTGTCACAGGAGTAAAGCTCTATGTCAAATTCTTACCCCCAAATCGGAAGAGTTAGGTGCATCCAGAGAAATACATCAATAGAGATCTGACTATCTGAAAAGAAGCTACTGGAAGTCAAAACAAGTAGAATCACTTACTTCATTATTAATTTTCATGAATTCCTAGAGGCTCAGTATCAACTAGTATAAGAGTTAGAAGTTCCTGGGAGGCCACAATTACTAGTAGGGGGCCACCACACATTCTGTTTGATATTGTAGTGGTGTATACATGTCCATGCATTTGTCAAAACCCATAAACATTTATGTCATAAAGAGTAAACTTTAATGTGTGCAGATAAAAGAAACAATTAATTAGGAAGTTGGGAAATTCCACTTTGGAATGCAGACTGTACAAAAAGAGAATCTAACCGTATTTTAAAAGTGTGATTTAACTCTTCTTTCAGGATAAGGGAAAAAGAGTTGTTGCTCCAAATAAGTTTGGAAATAAGTGAAGAATGTAAGACCAAAGACAAAATAATCTGTGTATAGCCAATGAACTCCAGTTCATAGAGGCATGGAGTATACATACATATCCACTATATATGTATACTGTGATTGAGCAAATAAGGGAATTGTTGGCATATGGAGAGAGCCAGGCTTCTCACTATTGCAATAGGAAGGTACAGATAAGCAAAGGGAAGAGCTGGAATAAAATGTGATCATCCTCCCTGTATTCGAGTTGCATACATTATTATGAACTCATGGCTAGTTTGATATAAATACAGATTGATGAATATAATAAATGAACATAGTATGCACACATATATTTCCAAGCCCTGTCTGCTGAGAAGGCCTAGAACAATTACATTCCATTAGAAACAAGCACACTACTAAGCTCCTAAGTAGAGATATTGATACTAGTTTTTCTGTATAAAAACCAGAGTAACTTGGATACATGGTTTATTTCAGGGTTAAGGCAGAGAATAAACGATTAATCTAGAACATCTTGTAGGGTCAGAAAGTTAAAAAGTATTGAGAAATAGAAACCTAAATGTAAAGGCTAAAACCCGTATAAGAAAGCATAAGGGTAAATATCTGTGATTGTTGTTTCTGCAACAATTTCTTAGATATAGTACTAAGAATGCAAGTGATGAAAAAAAGATAAGCTGAAGTATATCAAAATAAAAAACTTTTTGTATCAAAGAAACTATCAAGTAAAAGAAAAGAAAAGGTACAAACTGGGAGAAAATATTTGCAAATCATATATCCAGTAAGGGATTTGCATCCAGAATACATTACAAACTCTTACAACTCAATCATAATCCAGTGTTTTTCTTTTTCTTTTCTTTTTTTTTCCTGAGATGAAGTCTCACTCTCTTGCCCAGGCTGGGTGCAATAGTGTGATCTTGGCTCACTGGAACCTTCGCCTCCCAGGTTCAAGTGACTCTCCTGCCTCAGCCTCCTGAGTAGCTGGGATTAGAGGCACTTGCCAGCACGCCCAGCTAATTTTTGTATTTTTATTAGAGACAGGGCTTCACCATGTTGGCTAGGCTGGTCTCAAACTCCTGACCTCAAGTGATCTGCCCACATCAGTTTCCCAAAGTGCTGGGATTACAGGCATGAGCCACTGTGCCCAACCAATTAATTAATCCAATTTTAAAATGGGCAAAAATATTTGAGTACACACTTTACCAAAGTATATACAATTTTTCTCCACATTATTAGTCATTAGGAAAATGCAAATCAGAACCACAATAAGACACTAATTCACAGCGACTTGACTGGCAATAATAAAAAAAAACAAACAATTTACAAGTGTCAGTGAAGATATGGAGAAATTAGGACTAGATACCTAGGGGTGAAATTGCTGGTAAATATATGTTTAATATTTGAAAAAATGAAAAAAATGTTTTCCAGGGTAGTACCACCATTTTATATTCCCAGAATCAATCTTCAAAGGATCCAGAATTCTAAAGGTGTGATTTATGTAACTTTGGGTTCAAGCAGCCTCCATAAATTTGCACCTGAATACAGGATAATTCAAAACTCAACCTCAGGAGAATTCCCAAGAGTGTATACAAACTGACAGTTACATTTTTTTTTTCTGTTCGTGTAAGATTGAAGACCCTGAAACAATATTTCTAGCCACGTCAAAGGTTTGATGTCACTAACTCTTCAATGGAAATGATTTTAAACAACTATTATGTAATTGAAAATCATCTGACATAAAGATAGATGGAGGCCTGCAGTGCCTTCCTAGGGAAGTGTGGCTTTTTGATCAAATTGTACTTACCCAAACCAATAATACGTGTCCTTAATTAGATAGTAAACTATTTTAGGGCTTAGATTAGAATGGGATAGCATAGATATAAATACCATGTCACTCTATCTAGGCTAAATTATTTAAGTAAATTACAAACACATAACACCAGTTATAGAGATAAAAAGTTAGAGAAAAGGGTAATATAATTCTATCAACCAAAATTAAAAGGAATTGGAAAATTCATCATTTTCCAAATCAATTATTATATTTTCTTTAGTATTTATTTTATTTTTGATGCAACTAATGTATATTTTAAGTATATTGCATATTGTTTCCATTTTTCCAATTTTCATTGTGTAAAAATTTAAAAATACACTCTTAAGCAACCAATAAATGAAAAAGAAATTATAAGTGAAAATACTTTGAGATTAATAAAACTGAGAACACAACACACCAAAACACATGGGATTCATTAAAAGCCATACTCAGAAGCAAATTCATAGCTTTAAACACCCAAATTAAAAAAAAGAAGAAAAATATAAAACCAATAACCTAACTCCATAGGTCTTAAGGACCTATTCTTGATTTATTCAGAGATTTTGCCTAAGAAACAGAATTTTAAACAGAGACTGATACAAAAAATAAAATAAAAAAATAAAGTGCTGGGAATAGTGTAGCCAGGATTCAATATTAAGAAAAAGATCCAGAGACAGGAGGAGCTGAGAGACTGAAAACAGTTTCACCGAATTAGAGTACCAAAATGTTTAAACCATATTATACACACACACACACACTCATACACACACACACATACACACACACACACACACATACATATACATATACATCATATATATTGTCGGGAGGGCGAGGTGTGTGTGGGTGTGTACATACCCTATTCTTCCACTTAAAAATCAGGTTGCGGTTTGGGCAAACATCAGATTAATTTTTTTTAGAAAATGAAGATGCTTCGTTTTTCTTCACATTAAATTAATTATGTGGAATTTATAATCCAGCTGTGATTTTTCTATCTTGGATAATTTTATAATTGCTTTTAAGTGCCTTTAGTTATATCCTCTCTTTGACTGAAATTTCACTGAAACTATTATCTTCTAGAAAAAACAAAGTACTCAGTGGTACTTAATAACAAACTTCTGAATGATTTACTAATTAAGATTAATTATCTTGACTTCTTGAAGATGGGAGAGTTGAGTTTGAACTTCAATTTTACTGTCACATGGAGTTAAACACGATAGAAATACCTTTATGCACTCCCATTTATATGATGAATAATGGAAGCCTCTGGAGTGGAGGAAAAGTCTCTAGTCTTGCACAACTCCACTATTAATGGATCATAGCCTCCAAGTGAGGGATATTACCTCAAAGCACAGAAAAATATGGGAAAAAATAAAGATAAAACACATACATTCAGTAGCCAGTGAGCCTTAATTTTAGACTTAAAGAGCCTCTCGTGATACTGAGGCTGGGCAACCATGTGGGGGTTTCATCTTCAGTGAGCAAAGTGCATGATGACAGCCCACAGTACCCCCAAGCACTTACATTGGCTGCAGGCCTGTTAATGAATTAGACTCAAGAGCTTGGCTGTCTTTGCATAAAGCATCTTTCAAGAAAATGCTGAAAAGAAATGTAACCATGCTCCTCTCCCCTCAAACATTTACCAGAGGGTAAATCAATTTTTAGCCAAAATAGGACAGCTATAACCTATGGTATTTATTAAATATGCAAGCAATCATCAGGAATTTTCATATAGTGAATGCAAGAAGATGTGAGGACATTTTATTAATTGAAATTAATCTTAATATATTTGTCTAAGAGATTTGAAAGCAAGGATTGTGTTATACTATGACAGAAAAAATGCATGATTTATACCTAAGAGCTTTAAGATGGCTGAGCTCTTAAAACATGTCCCTTTCTTCCTGTAGGAAGTGAAATAGTCTTTGGCAGAATTTCTGAAGAGAACAGACCTTCCACCTCAATTCTACACAGTAGCTCAAGTAATTCTTGAGTACTTAGTCTTTTCACCATTAGATTCTCATTCATTCCACTATAAATCACCTTAGGGTAAATATATTGAATAGAAAAAACACATAATTCTGTCAAACATCTGTCAAGATTCTGCTACCTGATATGTATAGCCTCCAGCTAGTTGAACATCACTATATTATCGAGGACAGCATCAGAAGTGAAATGGGGTGGGGATGGGGGGGATGGAGAGGATGGGGGAGGGGGAAAAAGTGCTGATTAGATACAAGCCATTGAGTTTGACCTCCTAAATAGTATACATTAAGGAACACTTGTAGGCCTACATTAAACAAATTGAGAAGTTTTCATCAATCTTGAAAGACAATTTTATCTAATTTATAATAAATTAAAGCAAAGCTATAAAAAAAGTTCTTCTGGTGAACAATATACTAGATTTTGGTCAAATTTATATATTTTTACTGTATCTCCATGGCAAAACATGATTTATTTAAGGTAATAAATGCATACCATCTTAAGAGTTTTGCAAAATAAAGTGAATTTATCTATTAGACAAACATAAATATTTTCAGAGTGCAGTTGCTTCTTTCAGAAACCTTCCCTGAATCCATTTTTTGAAGAATGTCTTCTAAGAGAGTAAAAACATTTTCCATGTATTTATAGACTCTAGGGTATCAGAAAGCTTGAAAGATTATAGAGATCCATGTAGTAATAACATTTTAATGTTGAAAAAAATAAATAGAATTTAAAGGATTCAATCACTGTCATAAATATTTGAGTAGCAAAGTCAGGAGCAATAGCTGAGGAACAGCAGGAACTCACTGATCACTTACTTCTGCTGAGCACTCATCTATGTGCTTTACATAGTTAGATGACAACAAGCCTGTGAGGCAGACATCATTATCCTCTTGGTACAGATAACAGAGAGAGGGTATGTCATGTTTCTAAGGTCACAAAACTACTGACTAGCAAAGCCAGAATTGAAACCCAGAGAGTTAGGCTCCAAATCATTTTTTGTTAGTCTTGCTTTCTGGGGGAAGGGGATATGATTATTTAATCAGCCTTATTATTGTTTACACAATGATATGATTTGGCTGTGTCCTCACCCAAATCTCATTGTGAATTATCGTTCCCATAATCCCCACATGCTGTGGGAGGAACCCACTGGGAGCTAATTTAATCATGGCGTAGTTACCATCATGCTGTTCTCATGATAGTGAGTTCTTACAAGATCTGATGACTTTATGAGGAGCTTTCCCCACTTTTGCTTGGCGCTTCTTGCTGCCACCGTGTAAAGAAGGATGTATCTGCTTCCCCTTCCACCATGATTGTAAGTTTTCTCAGACCTCCCCAGCCAAGCTGAACTGTGAGTCCATTAAACCTTTTTCCTTTATAAATTACCCAGTCTCCGGTATGTCTTTATTAGCAGCATTTAAATGAACTAATACAATAAATTTGTATCCCAGAGAGTGGGGCACTGCTGTAAATGTAGAAGCGACTTTAGAAATGGGTAACAGGCAGAGACTGGAACCGTGTGGAGGGCTCACAAAATACAGGAAAATGTGGGAAAGGTTGGAACTTTCTAGAGACTTGTTGAATGGCTTTGACCAGAATGCTGATGGTAATATGGACAAAAAAGTACAGGCGGAGGTGGTCTCAGGTGGAGATGAGGAACTTGTTGGGAACTGCAGTAAAGGTCACTCTTGCTATGTAAAGAGACTGGCAGCATTTTGCCACTGCCAGAATGATATGGTTTGGCTGTGTCCCCACACAAATCTCATCTTGAATTGTAGCTCTCATATTTCCCACATGCTGTGGGAGGGACCCAGGGGGAGATAATTGAACCATGGGGGGGTGGTTTCTTCCATACTTTTCTCATGGTAGTGAATAAGTGTCATGAGATCTGATGGTTTTATAAGAGGCTTTCCTTTTCACTTGGCTCTTATTCTCTCTTGACTGCCATCATGTAAAATGTGCCTTTCGGCTTCTGCCATAATTGTGAGGCCTCCCCATCTATGTGAAACTGTGAGTCTATTAAACCTCTTTTTCTTTATAAATTACCCTGTCTCAGGTATGTCTTTATCAGCAGTGTGAGAGAACAGACTAATACAGCAAATTGGTACCAGCAGAGTGGGGTTCTGCTGTAAAAATACCTGATAATGTGGAAGCAACTTTGGAACTGGGTAACAGGCAGAGGTTGGAAGAGTTTGGAGGGCTCAGAAGACAGGAAAATATGGGAAATTTTGGAACCTCCCAGAGGCTGTTGAATGACTTTGACAAAAATGCTGATAATGATATGAACAATGAAATCCAGGCTGAGGTGTTCTAAGATAGAGATGAGGAACTTGTTGGGAACTGGAGTAAATGTGATGCTTGCTATGTTTTAGCAAAGAGACTGGTGGCATTTTGCCCTGCCCTAGAGACTTGTGGAACTTTGAACTTGAGGAAGATGATTTAGGGTTTCTGTCAGAAGAAATTTCTAAGCAGCACAGCATTCAGGATGTGACTTAGGTGCCCTTAAAAGTATTCAGTTTTAAAAGGGAAACAGAGCATAAAAGTTTGGAAAATTTGCAGCCTGATAATGCAATAGAAAAGAAAAACTCATTTTCTGAGGACAAATTCAAGTGGGCTGCATAAATTTGCATAAGTAATGAGGAGCTAAATGTTAATCACCAGGACAATGGGGAAAATGTCTCCAGGTCATGTCAGAGACCTTTGTAACAGCCCTTCCATCACAGGCCCAGAGGCCAAGAGGAAAAAATGTTTTCATGGGCAGGGCCAAGGTCCCTCCTGCTGTGTGGAGCCTAAGGACTTGGTGCTCTGCATCCCAGCTGCTCTAGCCATGACTAAAAGGGGTCAAAGTACAGCTCACACCATTGCTTTATAGAGTGCGAGCCCCAAGCTTTGGCAAGCCCCAAGCCTTGGCAGCTTCAACATGGTGTTGAGCCTGAGGGTGCACAGAAGTTAAGAATTGAGGTTTTGGAACCTCTGCCTAGATTTCAGAGGAAGTATGGAAAGGCCTGGATGTCTAGGAAGAAGTTTGCTGCAGAGGCAGGGCCCTCATGGAGAACCTCTGCTAGGGCAGTGCATAAGGGAAATGTGGGTTTGAAGCCCCCATGCAGAGTCCCCACTGGGGCACTTCTAGTGGAGCTGTGAGAAGAGCGCCACTGTCCTCCAGACCCTAGAATGGTAGATCCACTGACAGCTTGCACCATGTAACTGGAAAAGCCACAGACACTCAATGCCAGCCTGTGAAAGCAATCAGGAGGGAGGCCGTACCCCGCAAAGCCACAGGGATGGAGCAGCCCACAGCCATGGAAACCCACCTCTTGCATCAGCGTGACTTGGATGTGAGACATGAAGTCAAAGGAGATCATTCTGGAGCTTTTGACTGCTCTGCTGGATTTCAGACTTGCATGAGGCCTGTAGCCCCTTTGTTTTGGCCAATTTCTTCCTTTTGGAATGGGTGTACTTACCCAATGCCTGTACCCCCATTGTATCTAGGGAATAATTAACTTGCTTTTGATTTTACAGGCTCATAGGCAGAAGGGACTTGCCTTGTCTCAGATGAAGCTTTGGACTTGGACTTTCGAGTTAATGCTGGAATGTGTTAAGACTTTAGGGTACTGATGGAAGGGTATGATTGTGTTTTCAAATGTGAGGACATGAGATTAGGGAGGGGCTGGGGCAGTATGATATGGTTTGTCTGTGTCCCCACGCAAATCTCATCTTGAATTGTAGTTTCCATAATCCCCAAATGTCAAGAGGGGGACCCGGTGGGAGGTAATTAAATCATGGGGGCAGTTACCCTCATGCGGGTAGTGATAGTGAGTTCTGGCAAGATCTGATGGTTATGTAAGGGGCTTTTCCCCCTTTTGCTTGGCACTTCTCCTTGCCACCACATGTGAAGAAGGATGTGTTTGCTTCTCCTTCCACAATGGTTGCAAGTTTCCTGAGGCCTCCCCAGCCAGGCTGAAGTGTGAGTCAATTAAACCTCTTTTCTTTACAAGTGACCCAGTCTCAGGTATTTCTTTATTAGCAGCATGAGAATGAAATAACGCACATACAATCCAATTCGCCAGTTTTAAACGCACTATTAAGTGAGTTATAACAAATGTAATGCATTTATGTAACCATTACCACAATGAAGACATAGAAGCTTTCCAGCATCCTAAAAAGTTCTGGTACCTCTTTGTAGTCAGTATCCTTGCTTGGCTCCTGTTTCTTGGCAACCAATTATTTTCTGTTCTTTCACTATAGTTTTGCCTTTTCTAAAAATTGGAATCATAGAGAATGAAGTATTTTGTCTCTGAGTTCTTTCACTTAGCCTAATGCCTTTGCAATGCATCCAAATTTATATGTGTATTATTAACATTTTATTCTTTTTATTTTTGAGCAGTATTTCATTATTTGAGTAAACCATAGTGTGTTTATTCAGTTGATGGATGTTTGAATTGTTACAAGGATTTGGTTACTATGAATAAAGTTGCTATTAATATTTATATTTGAGGCTTTTTTAAATAGACATAGGTTTTCTGTTCTCTTGGGTAAATAACTAGGAGTGACATTGCTAAGTAATGGGTGGTAGTGGTATCTCATTATGATTTTAATTTGTATTTCCAGAGTGCCTAATAATGCTTCTTGAAATTTTATGTAGCTTCTTTGCTTCAATATTTGTTCAAATCTTTCTCCATATTAATTGGTTTGATTGTGTTCTTATTAATGAGATATAAACATTCTTTTAAATATTTTAGATACAAGTCCTTTATGAGATACAGCTTTTCAAATATTTTCTCCCACTCTTAGGTTGCCTTTTGATTTCCTTACCAATGTTAACCATGTTTTTTAAACAGCTAAACTTGTAATTATTTTCTTTTATGGTTAATTTGTTTGTCTGCTTAAGAAATTGCTGCCTAACCCAGCTCACAAGTATTTTCTCCTACTTTCTACTTGAAGTTTTAGAATTTGTTCTCTTACATTTATGCATATGATCTATTTCCATTTGTTTGCTTCTGGGAATTTTTAAGGGTTACAATGTAGACTTTTTCATACAATAACGAATAATTACAGCACAATTAAGTTTGTTGAGAAATGTTTCGTATCTCAGCATGTGTTCTATTTTGGTAAATGTTTTAAGTGCACTTGAAAATAATGTGTATTCTGCTGTGTTGGGTGGAGTGTTCTATAAATGTCAGTTAGATCATGCTACTTTATAGTATTGTTCAAATATTCCATATGCTTATTGATTTTCTTTTCATGTATTCTGTCAAATAGTAAGTTGAAGTGTCCTACTGTAACATTGGAATTACCATTTTTTACTTCTTTCTTATTTTGCTTTATATTTTTTTAAACTCTGAGTTTGTACGCCTACACATTTAAAATTGTATCCACTTGATAATTTAACCTCTTTTCATTATGAAATATAGTTAACCATTGAACAATGCAAGGATTAGGCATGCTAACTCCTTGCACAGTAAAAATCAGGGTATAAATTTTGAGTCTCCAAAAACAAATCCGTTAATGGCCTACTTTTGACTGGAAGCCTTACTGATAACATAAAGAGTTGATTAACTCCTATTTTGTATGTTAAATGTATTATATACTGTGTTCTTAAAGTAATTTAGAGAAAAGAAAATGTTATTAAGAAAACCATAAGCAAGAAAAAGTATATTTATTATTTATTAAGTGAAAATGAATCATCATAAAGGTCTTTACCCTCATAGTCTTCAGGTGGAGTAGTCTGAGGAGGAACAGTAAGAGGAGAGATTGGTCCTGCTGTCTGAGGGGTGACAAAGACAGAAGAAAATTCTCATAATTGGACCTGCACAGTTCAAAACCATGTTATTCAAGGATCAACTGTATTCCTCTTTATCTATGAAAGTATTCTTTCTTCTAAAGACTAATTATCCTAATAACATAAACACCCCTCCTTTCCTTTGATTATCATTTGCATTTTTTAATATCTTTTTACTTATGATCTGTGTCTTTATACTTAATGTGGTTTTCATAGAATATAGTCAGTCTTTTTAAGGGGATTATGTTTTATCTCTACTATTGAGATAGATGACAAATAGGTAGATAACATATTCAAATATAATATATTAATCTCTAGGAGTTTCATTTTTGTATTTTTATATGTTCCATTTCTCTCTTCACCATGTCTGCTATTTCTTCTACACTCTTTAGCATATGAAACATATTTGTAGTTGATCTTTTAGGGTGCTTGTCTGCTAATTCAATCATGTCATTTCTGGGCTTGCGTATTTATTGCTAAATGGATCATAATTTTTTGCTTCTTTCCATGGCTTGAAATTTTTCACTGGAAGCCTGGAACTGTGTTTATTACTGTATTGCATAATACATTCCGTGGCATTTCTTTAAAGAGCCTTTGACTTTCTTCTAGCACAGAGTTAATTACTTATAATGAAGACAGTCCTTTCAGAACTTAGTTTTAAACTTTGTTAAGGAAGGTCCAAAATAGTCTTTATTCTAAAATTAGTTAAATCTCACTAAAATGGTGATATTCTTCTGAGTTATTGCCTGGTAGAAACACAGATTAATCTCACCCTTGTATGAGTTCTAGGAACAAGATTACTATTCCTAGTGGTTCTTCTCTCAGCTTTCGGTAAACTTATTTTTGTATAGCTCCCTCCTCTTCAGTATTTGGTCCCTCAAATTCTAGCTGCCTAAATTTCCGTTAACATTAATATTTATCTTACCAACTCAGTAAGATCACTGGGCTCCATTTGATTTGACACTTTCTACCCTATGGCTTGGAAACTCAATAAGCTGGAGTAATCATAAAGTCTCATTTGTTTATCTCATGGACCACAGTCTTGCACTGACTGCTGACTGATGCCTGAAAATAATAGTTTAATAATATATTTTATCCAGTTTTATAGTAGTTTATTATAGGAAGGCTGTTCCCGTAACTGTGAATCCTTTTACAAGGTGTTTTTTAGTTACAATATTTTACATGCTATTTCAGAATCTAAGTTTGTTTCTACCACTTACCAGCTGTGTAATCTCAGCAAATTGCTGAACTTTATTGTAATTACCTGGGACTAGCTATGTGAATAATAGGGAAGTGAGTCCTAAAGTGGCTTAGAATTTTGGTTAAAAAGCCAAAGTCCTGATGAGTATTTGAGTATAAATTCTGGCTCTTCTGCATAGCTCTGACCCTTATTTCCATAATACTTAAAACTTGTCATAAAATTGTGCCTATTTTATAGAATCCTGGTGAAAAGTAAACAGATAATGTGTGTTGAGAACACAGTGCAGTAGATATCTGCCACATTTTTGTTCCACATTTTACTGCACAAAGATATTACTATTTTCAAATTAAATCTCCATTAATGTACTTTAGTGAAAAATACGCTTTAGAATATGGTGTAAAATTCTCCAAATTTTTATGTTGCTTTTATTTTCACTTGAGGTCCCCTTGCTTTTCTTCTATTATTTTCCCAGGACTATCGTGGCCTCCAAAAAGAGGGCTCTATCCTTCCTGCTGATGCATCTTTGTTCTGACCCAGCCTTCCTCTGGCCTCATGACACTACATTTTTCCTCTCCCCAGAAGAAAGCCAGTATATATTTTATAATTTTAAGCTATCTTTGTGTGCTTCATTCTAACCCCTAAACCAAACTTATTATGGTTTTTTTCTAAATATATCATAGAAAAATATATAAGGAACTCTTTGACCATCGAAATGACATATGGTAGAGTGATCAAGCTTTTGGCAAAAACACACCCTTCTGGATTGGGACCTGAAACCCATGATGGAGGGAGAAAAACTAACCAGGCAGCATATTTCTATAGAGTAGAAGAGCCACTCAACACTAAAGTTGAAGACAAAACACAGTAGTTTGAAAGTAAACATGATGAACACATTATGCTTCTAGGTAACCTAAAATCAATGTTCCAGAGAATTTTTTTACAAAAGATTGAGCATAGTTTGTCCATGTGCTGATTTGCTCTGTGATGCTTTCAAGTCCTATCCACACCTACTCTTGATTCCCTGAGATTTGCAAGTTGTTACAGAGGAATTCCTGTAACTCTAGTGTCAGGGGAAAAGTTAACACATAATAGCATGAATGTTTTTGTGTGAAATACTTTATACATTTTTATAAGTGGAAAAATGGGTTAACTTCAACCTAACAAATTTTGTGAACTAATTTGGTGCTTCTAATCCTTAACTACATTTTCATTCTTTTACGACTGTGTAGTATTCCATGTTGTATATGTATCAAAGTTTTTCTATCCAAACCAATAGCACTATGATGAACATTCGAGCACATGTGTAGTTTTGGTAGAATAATTAATTTTCCTTTGGGTATATACCCAGTAATGGGGTTACTAGGTCAAATAATAGTTCTCCTTGAAGTTCTTTGAGAAATCTCCAAACAGCTTTCCACAGTGGCTGAACTAATTTGCATTCCATTCAACAGTGTATGAGCCTTCCCTGTTCTCCACAGTCTCACCAGCATCAGTTATTTTTTAACTTTTTAATAATACACATTCTGACTTGTGTGAGATAGTATCTCATTGTGGTTTTGATTTGCATTTATTTTCTGCACAATAAAAGAAACTATCAACAGAGTAAACAGACAGCCTACAGAAAGGGAGAAAACATTTGCAAACTTTGAGTCTGACAAAAGTCTAATATCCAGAATCTGCAAAGAACTTAAATCACAAGCAAAAAACAAATAATCCATTAAAAACCGGGCAAACAACATGAACAAACACTTCACAGAAGAAGACGTACAAGCAGGTTGTACATCTTCAAAAAACCTATATAAAACACGAAAAATGTTCAATATCACTAATCATCAGAGAAAGGCAAATCAACTACACTTTGATTGTAATTATATATTTGCTGCTATTGTTTCACTGAACTTGGTCTTATTTTGTCTTGCTCTCCTATACATGGAGCCTGCTCATGAGTCATGGTTTGCCTCTTTTACTCCTTATAACCCAGTGTTTACATAATCCTGAAAACTTCACTGTCTGTGACTTCTCACAACATATTCTAACTTCTATACAGCCTCTCTGGATGTCCTGCATTGTCTACACATCTGACTTTTATGAATTAAAACTTGCGCTGATACTTTTCTTTTGGGAGAATCCCTCTTTCTGAGTTATTTTACCCCAGATCAAGCCTGTGTAGTCCTGGGTTGCAAGATCCTGCATGTCCCTTTCCCCTGAGTGGAACTATTCTGTCATTATCCATTGCCACGAAAAGATATGTATGCCATTGAAGATTACCTGCCACTTATTTAATAAAATCTAGACATCCAGGGTAATGTATAGCATAGTTTATTTGTAGCATCAGGTTCTTGTCTTTTACTATCACTGTAGTGCTATCACTATACCACTTCTATCAGTGTGCTCCACATTGGATGATTATTTGGAACATGTTCACAGCCTGTCTTCTCTCTGGTTTCCCTTTATCTCAAATGCCCAACCCAGACATCAGCCTATTTACTAAAATTAACCTCATTTATTTTAGTTTTTGCTATCTCTCCATTCTCCATAGCACACTGTTATCTTTAAAATCATATAGACATATGTTCTTCGGGAAATTGAAGGACAAAGACTGCAAAAAAAAAAAAGGTTTCACAGTGTCCTTTATTCCCTTTTTAGCATCAATGCCTAAAACCACCCAGATATTTCCCACAGAATGTGCCAGCTCTTAGATACGAGAGGAGTCTTTTTGTTGTCCAGAACATTCCTGGAATTTGGGCCTGTCATTACTCAGTCATTTATCAATGACAAGGCATAGATATACTCTCCCTTATGACATGCACTGTTTCTACAGAGACATGATGAGGAAGGGAGATAATCACTGTATTACTTTGCCTGGGGCAGAAATTATGAACCAATGGTAAATCCAAATATAATTATCTGTTGTTTTATATGTAAAACAATAGGACAGGAAAGACTCTGTAATTTCCCTACTTTGCTAAATATAAAGAACATGTTCTCAATAAAAGAAAAAAGGACATTGGCTAGATGATCTCTGGCCATAGAACTCTGACCTGCACATTTTGAAGCAACCTGTTTGGGAAGCTAGAGTACAGCTTCTGAGCAATTAGTCCAGAATGATCAGAAGTTTGTCAATCACTGCTAGCTTCCCTGCATTTTTCATCTGCTTCCAATTCAGGGCCAACCACAGAAAGTTAAAGTTAAATAAGATGCCCACTTCTAGTTAGCCCACCTCCAACTTCCCCATGCCAGCAACCTCCAATCAGTTAAGTTTCATGCCTGAAGCCTTTTTGTCTGTACAACACAAAGCTTTCCAAATCTTCTGTTTGCCTTTGAATCTCTGCGAAATGCATGTGATGATAGTGGCTGACTCCTTTGCCATAGCAATCTCTGAAGAAATAGCCTTTGGTTATTCTCATGGGATTAGTCTTTACTTATTTCTACAAGATGACATTGTCAACAGGTTTCAGGATTCATCTGTGATTTTTTGAAGGATTCCTTATTACATCATTTATTTGGATCATGCCTAAAAACTGCATTTTCTCTGAAGCTGTTCTTATTTCCAAAGTAAGTGATTGCATCTCATTTCAAATTGTATAAAGTAGAATCTTGTAGCATTAGCCATTTCAGAATGTAAACTCCTCTAGGGCAGGATATGCAACATTTCTATGAGACTCAAATGCCATTATCAAAATTGATTTAAACATATAAAATGCTCGAAGCTGGGACTGGACCCTGGGAGCATAAAATTTAGAGGATGAAAACAGATTTTACACAGGCTATTGCAACAGGTGAAAGGTTTTTTAACACTGGGGTGAGCTACTGGAAAATTACTGGAGGATGTTGGGGGAGGGTTGATCAATGTGGATCACATTGTGGAGCACATTGAGTTATTCTTGAGTTTGCAAATATTTTCCACTGTGATTAGGCCATCTGTGTTTTTTAACTGGCACCTTTCTAAGTTAGGCTTCTACCCTCACACAGAGGCTGGGAGATAGAAGTACTATTACTCTATCACCTTTAATGTTTACATTTCAAAAAGATGGATCGCAGGTCCTTGAGAAAGATATTGTCTGGATTGGGAAACTAGCAAGATGCTGAGATAAGATTTATATACGTTTCAAAGGGGCAAAGAAATGATCTGCAGTTGTAAGTTTTCTAAAGTAAATACCCCAAGAAAGGCAGCCCAGAGGACTAGAGTCAGGAAATCTTTCTACTAAAGTTGAGTCAAGCTGAAAGCAATGTTGAGACAATCTTGTTCAGTAAGTTGTGTCATTTCCTTTCTTCAGAATGATTGCCCTTATTTTCTATTCCTTTAAAGAAGTGTCCCAAATACTGTTATAGAAATCCAGAATTTAGGATTGACTTGGCGATGCGGGCTCTTTTTTGGTTCCATATGAACTTTAAAGTAGTTTTTTCCAATTCTGTGAAGAAAGTCATTGGTAGCTTGATGGGGATGGCGTTGAATCTATAAATTACCTTGGGCAGTATGGCCATTTTCACGATATTGATTCTTCCTACCCATGAGCATGGAATGTTCTTCCATTTGTTTGTATCCTCTTTTATTTCATTGAGCAGTGGTTTGTAGTTCTCCTTGAAGAGGTCCTTCACGTCCCTTGTAAGGTGGATTCCTAGGTATTTTATTCTCTTTGAAGCAATTGTGAATGGGAGTTCACTCATGATTTGGCTCTCTGTCTGTTATTGGTGTATAAGAATGCTTGTGATTTTTGTACATTGATTTTGTATCCTGAGACTTTGCTGAAGTTGCTTATCAGCTTAAGGAGATTTTGGGCTGAGACAATGGGGTTTTCTAGATATACAATCATGTCATCTGCAAACAGGGACAATTTGACTTCCTCTTTTCCTAAGTGAATACCCTTTATTTCCTTCTGCCTAATTGCCCTGGCCAGAACTTCCAACACTATGTTGAATAGGAGTGGTGAGAGAAGGCATCCCTGTCTTGTGCCAGTTTTCAAAGGGAATGCTTTCAGTTTTTGCCCATTCAGTATGATATTGGCTGTGGGTTTGTCATAGATAGCTCTTATTATTTTGAGATATGTCCCATCAATACCTAATTTATTGAGAGTTTTTAGCATGAAGGGTGGTTTGAGTACCCAGTGCTCAGTAAGCCAAACACTGACACATTAGCACTTAGGAGCAGAGAATGTTTATTTGATTTGGCCAAAGTGAAGGGGCAGGAGGCAAACTCTCAAATTCAACCTGCATTTGAACATAACTGGGGATTTTATGAGTAAGATAGGAATGCGGGACATGAGATTTCTGGATGATCAAAGCTGCTTGCATCGCTCAGCTGATCAAACTTCTGGATGCCATCAAGGAGGTCTGCATGACCTAAGGATCATTGTTGTTTAAGAGAAAAACATGTTCTTTAGTCTTGCAAGTAGCCCCTGGGGGTTAAAATATGAAGTTAATCAATTATTAGTGTCTACCCTCTACCTAAATGACTACATGACAGCAATCATGAATGAAAGACGAAAAGGACAAAAAGAAAGGAAAATAAGTAAAACAAACATCTTATAATTTGTATAATATAGGCTCAATTGCAATGCCCTTTATTCCCTTTTCTTTTGTCTTGCTAAATGTGGAACAGGCTTTCAGCTGCAGCCAACATTTACATAAGTGAATTGTGACATTTTATACTCCAAAAGGAGTCTCTCAAGAGTTTAGTAAGTATAAGACAATGAAGACAGAATATTTAAGAACTTCTACTCTCATGTACATAACACATTTAGGATATAACAGCATTTATAATAGATAACAAGCCTAGGAAACATTCAAAAATTTCTAGCTTGAATCACTGTAGGCTTTATACTTAGAAGAAATTTTAAAGCACTCCAATTAAAACACTGAGCACTTAGGCCTTCCATCAGCCACACAGTGATGGATGTATAGCCAGACCATGTGCTTGTGTAGGCAAGGGAAGAAAGATTATGAAGAAGGTGGCAAAAAGTAAAGCTGAGTTCCTATATGACCAACCAGATGTTTAGCATCTTGAAACAAGGCTTTCGGAATTTTCCCAGAAGGATTCGTTTTTGCTCTTGTGTCAAGGAAGTTCCTGTTTCAGACCATTAATACTGGTTAAATGTTACATTTTTGAAATTGCTTATATTTAACATGTCTCCCTGCAGAGTGTACAGGACAACTGGTTTTGCTCTATTTAGATCTTGTCCTTTGCACTATATCTTGTTCTTCAAGAGTAGATCAATAAGCAGCTTATGAGAGAGTAGTAAAATATTTCTTTTAAAAATGAACACATATGGTTAACTTGAATCAACCAAACTGACTAATATGCAAAAAGTTTTGCACTGTAAGCAAGAAGTTCTGCAGCGTACTGAAGGCACCTGGAGCTGGCTGAAGACCTACAGTGGAGACACAAGAGTCCATATATACAAACTTGCCTTTTGCCAGATGGGTGCACTTAGGCTGTCCGAATAGCCAGCTGGGCTCAGCCTGGGGTCAAAGCACGAGACTAGCTCAATTTAGAGATAACAACATTTGCATATCAATAGCCTTAAGGGGGAAAACATTCAAAATACTGTATCTATTAGAAACTAATTATGAGTGTGCATATTCAGAGAAGTTTGACAAGAAAACTGTGAGGAGGCCGGCGTGGTGGCTTACGCCTGTAATCCCAGCACTCTGGGAGGCCGAGGTGGGCAGATCACCTGAGGTCAGGAGTTCGAGACCAGCCTGGCCAAATGGCAAAACCACATCTCTACAGAAAATACAAAAAATTAGCTGGGCATGGTGGTGTGTGCCTGTAATCCCAGCTACTCGGGAGGCTGAGGCAGGAGAATTACTTGAACCTAGGAAGCAGAGGTTACAGTGAGCCTAAATCATGCCACTGAGCTCCAGCCTGGGTAACAAAGAGAGACTCTATCTCAAAAAAAAAAAAAAAGGAAAAAAGAAAAAACTGTGAGCAGCACAGAATTCAGAATTTATTAACTTTAGTTTTCTCTGTGGTGGGTATTTGTTAATTTTCTATTAATTTTATATTTATAATGTGATAATGCCTTGATATTTGCAATACAAAATGTGCCTTTAATATGGTGATGATGATGATGATGGTAACATGTTTTGGGGCTAGAAATATATAAACACCTGTATTAGTCCATTCTGCCATTGCTATAAAAAACTACCTGTGACTCAGTAATTTATAACAGAAAGAAGTTTAATTGACTCACAGTTTCACAGGTTGTATAACAGGCATGGCTAGGGAGGCCTCAGGGAAATTTCAATCATGGCAGAAGGGCAAAGGGGAAGCAAGCACATCTTCATATGGCAGCAGGAGAGAGAACAAAGGGTGAAGTGCTACAAACTTCACTTTTAAACTTTTAAACAACTAGATCTCGTGAGAACTCTATCATGAGACGGCACTAGGAGGATGGTGCTAAATCATTAGAAACCACCTTCATGAGCCAATCACCTCCCAGTAGGTTCCACCTCCAAGATTAGAGATTACAGTTCAACATGAGATTTTCGTGGGGACACAGAGCCAAATTTTAACACCCTACACATTATTTTCTTTAATCCTGCAAATAACAATGATAGAATGACTAAAATTAAAACTATGTAAAATATCAAGTATTGATGAGGATGCAGAGCTACCAGGACTTAATTTGACTTTGGGTGAAAGTGTGAATTGGTACAACTTCTTTGGAAAATTGCTCGGCAGTACCTACTGAAACAGAACATAAGCATACTCTAAGACCCAGCTTTTCTACTTCTTGGCATATAACGAACAGAAATGCATTCATGTATTTACCAAAGACATGTACAAGAATATTCATAGCCTTATTATTCTTAATAACATAAAACTCAAAGCAAATTAAATGTTCACCAGCAGTAGAAAAGTTACATAGGGAGTCTGACTCCATGTTTTAAATGTTTTACAACTGACAGCTTTTATGCCAGACCTTTTCCTCTCCCTTCTGTGCCCTGCACCTGGGCAAGCTAATAAGAAAACCTACCTTCTTTGTTCTCTGACAGGGGCAAGAAATTCAAGCAACACAAATTCCTGCCCTTATAGGAACTCTCATCTCAGTCCCATCCCCTAGCCAAAATAAAAAACAAAACAAAACAGGTAATTCTTCTTTTCTTGCTCTCAAGTCACTTTAAGCCTGCATGCTCTCCCTGGAGATTTCAAATAAGTAATTAACCGTTTCATACCCTCTTGGTATGAGTGTGGCATCATCATTCTCAGACATCAGAACCAAAGTTTGAGTGCAGGTTCCTTTGCCTCTTAAGGTAATCGTAACAATGGGAAAAGCAGCAGATCACCTAGTTTCTGTCTCTTAAATGTCTATCTTGAATTAGAGTCATGCCTCACTTAATGACTGTGATATGTTCTTAGAAATGCATCATCTTCAGACAATTTTGTCTAACATTATATAGTGTACTTACACAAAACTAAGTGGTATAGTCTTTGCACACCTAGGCGGCATAGTATAGCTTATTGCTCCTAGGCTATATACCTGTACAGCGTGTGACTGTACTGAATACTATAGGCAATTCTAACACAATGGTAAGTATTTGGGTATCTACATATATCTAAACATAGAAACAGTGTGGTAAAATTACGGCATAAAGGATTTTTTTTTTAAATGATACACCTGTATAGGGCACTTACCATGAATGGAAATGCATGATTGGAAGTTGCTCTGGGTGAGTCAAGGAGTGAGTATTGAGTGAATGTGAACCTGGGGCATTACTATATACTACTATAGATTTTATAAACACTGTACACGGCCAGGCGTGGTGGCTCATGCCTGTAATCCCAGCACTTTGGGAGGCCAAGGCGGGCGGATCACGAGGTCAGGAGATCGAGATCATCCTGGCTAACATGGTAAAACCCCGTCTCTACTAAAATTACAAAAAATTAGACGGGTGTGGTGGTGGCTGCCTGTAGTCCCAGCTACTTGGGAGGCTGAGGCAGAAGAATGGTGTGAACCCGGGAGGTGGAGTTTGCAGTGAGCCAAAATGGCACCACTGCACTCCAGCCTGGGCGACAGAGCAATACTCCATCTCAAAAAAAAAAAAAAAAAACCCACTGTACACTTAGGCTACACTGGATTTATTAACATATTATTTATCTTTAATAGTAAATTAATATTAGCTTACTGTAACTTTTGTACTTTATAAACTTTAAAATTTTTAACTTTTCTACTCTTGTAATAACACAGATTAAAACATAAACACATTGCATAATTGTACAAAAATATTTTTTCTCTATATCCTTACGCTATAAGCTTTTATTTTAATTTTTTTCTTAAAAACTAAGTCATAAACACACACATTAACCTAGGCCTACACAGGCTCAGGATCAATATCGCTGTCATTCAACTCCACATCTTGTACCACTGCAAGGTCATCAGAGTCAATGACACACATAAAGCTGTCATCTCCTGTGATCACAATGCATTCTTCTGGAATACCTTCTGAAGGACCTGCCTAAAACTGTTTTACTGTTAACTTTTTTTTTTTAAGTAGAAAGAGTACACTCTAAAATAATGATAAAAAATATAGTATTGTAAATACTAGGAAATAGGATTTTTTAATCTCTATTATGATTTTATGTAACCACCCTCCTATATACAGTTCATTGTTGACCAAAATGTTGTTATGTGGTGCATGCCTATGCAAGTATATGGTACTTGTCTTTGTCTGCTAGTACTGTTATAGGTATTTTTTAAAAGCCTAAGACTAGGCAATTTATGAAAAACAAGTTTATTTTGTACATTTCTGGAAGCTGAGAAGTCCCAGACCAATGTGCCAGCAGGATTGGTGCCTGGTGAGGCCTGCTTTCTGCTTCCAAGATGTCGCCTTTTTGCTGCATCCTCAGAAGAGGAATGTTGTGTCCTCATGTGGGTGGAAGGGATGGAAAGAATGAAAAGGGGCAAATTCCTTCCATCAAACTCTTTTTAAAAACCTAATCTCATTCATGAGGACAACACCCTTATTACTGAATCGCTTCCTAGAGACCATACATCATAATACTGCTGCATTGAAAATTAAGATTCAACATGAATTTAGAAGGGGACAGAAACCTCAAACCATAGCAGTACTAGAATTAAACTTCATAAGAAATCATAAACTACTTGAATCCAAGGTTTATATTTGTTTCATATATGTAAGCCTATCTATGACACATGTAATTTTAGTTGAATATTTAATTTAAAATTCTCTAGGCTGGGCACTATGGCTTGTGCCTGTAGTCCCAGCACTTTGGGATGCCCAGGCAGGCGGATCACTCGAGGTCAGGAGTTCGAGACCAGCCTGGCCAACATGGTGAAACCCTCTCTCTACTAAAAAATACAAAAATTAGCCAGGCGTGGTGGTGCATGCCTGTAGTCCCAGCTACATGGGAGGCTGAGGCAGGAGAATCACTTGAACCCAGGAGGCAGAGGTTGCAGTCAGCTGAGATCGTGCCACTGCACTCCAGCCTGGGCGACAGAGAGAGACTCCATCTCAATAAAATAAAATAAAATAAAATTCTCTATAAAATGGGTGAGTTCTGATACAATTGAGTTTAATCATCATCATTGATTAGATCAGAAAATAATAATTAAAGTGCAATAAGGCAGAAAAGGCATCTAAATTAGAAAAGAAGAAGTAAAATTATCTCTATCTGCAGATGGCATAATCGTGTGAAGAATTCTAAAGATGTTATAAAAATTGTTAAAATTAATAAATGAATTCAGCTAAGTTGCAGGATACAAAATCAAACATAAAATAAGTTGCATTTTCATACACCACCAGTGAACAACCCCCAAAATAAATAAGAAAATTCAATTTACAATAATATCAAAAAGAATAAAATACTTAGAAATAAGTATTTACACAATGAAAATTATAAAATATTGCTGAAAAAATTAAGGAGGATGTAAATAAATGCAAATAAACCCAATGTTCATAGATTAGAAGACTTAATATTATTAAAATGTCTATTGCACACAGAACAATCTACAGATTCAATGCAATCTCTACCCAAATTCCAGAAATATTTTTGCAGAAAATAGAAAAATCCATCCTCAAATTCATATGGAAACTCATGGGATGCAGAATAGCCAAAACAATGGTAAAAAATAAAAATAGGCTGGGTGCAGTGGCTCAAGCCTGTAATCCCAGCACTTTCGGAGGCCGGGGCGTGTGGGTCATGAGGTCAGGAGTTCAACATCAGCCTGGCCAAGATGGTGAAACCCCGTCTCTACTAAAAATACAAAAATTAGCCGGGTGTGGTGGCAGGCACCTGTAATCCCAGCTACTCGAGAGGCTGAGGCAGGAGAATCGCTTGAACTCAGAGGACGGAGGTTACAGTGAGCTGAGATCGCACCACTGCACTCCAGCCTGGGCGACAGAGTGAGACTCCATCTCAAAATTATAATAATAATAATAAAAATAAAGATAAAAAAGTTAGAGATGTCACATTTCCTGATTTCAAATCTACATAGCTATAGTAATCAAAGCAGTGTGATGCTGTCATAAAGACAGATATATAGATACATGGAATATAATAGAGAACTCAGAAATAAACCTTTATATATACATTCAAATTGCATTTGACCAAAGTGGCAAATGATTCAATGCCAAAAAGAAAAACAGTGTTGGAGAAACTGGATAGCCACATGCAAATGAATAAAGTTAGAAACATATTTTATTTCATATACAAAACTTTAACAAACTGGATCAAAGAGCTAAACTATAAGATCTAAAGCAATAAAACTCAGGAGAAAACAGAGGAAAAGCTTCATAATATTGTATTTGGCAATAATTTCTTGAATATGATAACCAAAAGCGCAGGAAACAAAAGAAAAAATAAATAAATTGGACTTCATCCAAATTAAAATGATTTGTGTGTCAAAATATACTATGAACAGAGTGAAAAAAATACATAAAATGAGTGAAAATATTTGCAAATTACATATCTGGTAAGAGATTAATATCCACCATATATTAAAAACTGCTAAATCTCAAGAACCAAATATACCCAATTCAAAATGGGCAAAGGGCTTAAATAGACATTTCTTCAAAGGTATATAAATGTCCAATAAGCACAAGAAAAGATGTTCAACATCATCAATTATTACAGGATGCAAATCAAAATTCACACCCATTAGGATGGCTATTAACAACAACAACAACAACAAATACAACCAGGAAATGGTAAGTGTTGGCATAGATGTGGAGAAATTGGAACCCTTGTACATTGCTGATGAGAAGGTCAAATGGTGCAGCCACTGTATAAAACAGTCTGGCGGTTTCTCAAAAAATTAAAGATAGAATTACCTTACTATCCAGGAATTCGAATTCTGGACATATGCACAAAATAATTGAAAACAGGGACTGGAACAGATGATCTGTATGTCTGTGCTAATAGCAGCATTATTAACAACAGCTGAAAGGTGGAAGTAACTCAAATGTCCCTTAATGTATAAACTAATAAATAAAATGTGGTATATACATACAGTGACATATTCAGCCTTAAAAAGTAGGATAATTCTGACACATGTTACAACATGAATAATCCTTAAAGACACATACAAATTGCAATAAGCCATTCACTAATGGACATAGATTGTATAATTCTACTTATTATATGAGGCACCTAAAGTAATCAAATTCATAGAGACAGAAAGTAGGATGGTGGTTGCCAGGTGCTGGAAGCTTGGGGAGGGAGAATGGAGAATTGTTTAACGAGTATGAAGTTTCGGTTTGGGAAGATGAAAAAGCTCTGTAGATGCCTAGGAAAGGGTGTACAACAATGTGAATGCACTTAATGCCACTGATCTGTGTACTTAAAATGGTTAAAATAGTAAATTTTATGTATATTTTAGTACAATGAAAAATAGTTAATGTCATTTGAAGGAGAATATAACCAGGATTACAGAGAATTAGTCTCGATATTTATATGGTGGATTGCAACTACTTGGTTAGCATTAAGTCAATTCCATTCATAAACATTTGATAAAGGGTAAAATATTTGAAAAAAATGGCACTACATTGTACTTCTGCTTTGCAATATTTATTCTGGAGATTTTAGATCTTTTTTATTGATTAATTCATTTGTTTTAGAGTTACAGGCATAATTTTTGTTATTGTGTTTCATTTTACTGTGCTTCACAGATATGATACTTTTTACAACTTAATGGTTTGTAGCAACCTTGCATTGGGCAAGTCTGTCAGCACACTTTTTTCACAAAGCATGTGTTTACTTTGTGTCTTTGTGTCACATTTTGGTAATTTTTTGAATATTTCAAACCTTTTCATTATTATATATCTGTTATGGTGATCTGTGATCTGTGGTCCTTGATGTTACTATTGTAATTATTGAGTACCACAAAATACACCCATATAGGAAGACAAATTTCATCAACAAATGTTGTGTGTGTTCTGACTGTTCAACCAACTTTCCGTCCTCCCATTTCTCTCCCTCTTCAGGCCTCCCTATTCCCTGGGATACAACATATTAAAATCAGTCCAATTAATAGCCCTACAATGGCCTCTAATTGTTCAAATGAAAGGAAGAATCACACATCTCTTGCTTTAAATGAAAAGCCAGAAATGATTGAGCTTGGTGAGGAAGGCATGCTAAAAGCTAAGATAGGTTAAAAGCTAGGCCTCTTTCACCAGTTAGCCAAGCTGTGAACACAAAGGAAAAGTTATTGAAGCAAAAGTGCTACTCCAGTAAACACACAAATCATAAGACAGTGAAACAGCCTCATTGCTGATAGGAAGAAAGTTTCAGAAGTCTGGATAGAAAATCAAACCAGGCACAAAATTCCCTTAAACCGAAGCCTGGTTAAGAGAAAGGTTCTAAGTCTCTCCAATTCTATGAAGACTGAGGGAAGTGAGGAAGCTACAGAAGGAAAGCTTGAAGCAGCAGAGGTTGGTTCATAAGGTTTAGGGAAAGAAGCCATCTCCGTAACATAAAAGTGCAAGGTGAGGTAACAAGTGCTGGTGTAGAAGTTGCAGCAAGTTATCCTGATTATCTAGCTAAGATTATTGATGAAGATGGCTACACTAAACAATGTATTTTCAATGGATGCAAAACATCCTTCTATTGGAAGAAGATGCCATCTAGGACTTTCATAGCTAAAAAGGAGAGGTTGATGCCTGGCCTCAAATCTTCAAAGGATAGGCCGACCCTCTTGTTAGGGGTTAATGCAGCTGGTTACTTTAACTTGAAGCCAATGTTCATTTACCAGCCTGAAAATGTTAGAGCTCTTAAGAATGATGCTAAATCTCCTCTGCCCATGCTCTATAAGTAGAACAACAAAGCCTGGACAACAGCACTTCTGTTTAAGCATGGCTTTCTGAATATTTTAAGCCCACTGATGATACCTGCTGCTCAGAACCAAAAAATATGATTTTCAAAATATTACTGCTTATTGACAATGCACCCAAGCACTCTGATGGAGATGCACGAGGAGATGAATGTCTTTTTCGTGCCTGCTAACACAACATCAATTCTGCAGTCCATGAATCGAGTAGTAATTTTGACTTTCAAGTCTTATTATTTAAGAAATACATTTCATAAGGCTATAGCTGCTATAGTCATTCCTCTGAGAAATCTGGGCAAAATAAATTGAACACCTTCTGAAAATGATTCACCATTCTAGATGCCATTAAGAACATTTATGATGCATGAAACTGTCAAAAATAAACTTTAACAGAAATCTGGAAGTTTATTTCAACCTTCATGAATTACTTCGAGGGGGTTCAATATTTCAGTGGAGAAAGTGACTACAGATGTGGTAGAAATAGCAAGAGAACTAGAATTAGAAGGGGAGCCTGAAGATGTGACTGAATTGCTGCAGTGTCATGGGAAAACTTGAATAGTTAAGTTGCTTCTTACGGATGAGCAAATAAAATGTTTGTTTGTTTATTTGTTTGAGATGGAATCTACTCCTGGCTGTGAGCATTTTTGAAATGACAACAAGTAATTTAGTATATTTATAAACTTAGTTGATACAGCAGAGGCAGAGTTTGAGAAGAACAACTCAAATTTTGAAAGAACCTCTACTGAGGGTAAAAATGCTATCAAATAGCATTGCATGCTACAGAGAAACCTTTCATCAAAGAAGAGTCAATCAGTGTTGCCAACTTCATTGTTGTCTTATTTTAAGAAATTGCCACAAGCACTCCAGCCTATGGCGACCATCACCTCCTGATCAGTCAGCAGCCATTAATATTGAGGTAAGACTCTCTACCAGCATAAAGGTTACAATTAGCTGAAGGCTCAGATGATCTTTAGCATTTTGTAGCAATTAAGTATTTTTAAATTCAGATGCGTGATTTTTTTTAGAGTTAATGCCTTTGCACACTCAATAGACTACAGTATAGTGTAAATATAATTTTTATATACACTAAGAAACAAATAAGCTGTGTAACTCCCTTTATTGAGATATTCACTTTATTTCAGTGGTCTGGAACTGAACCTGCAATATCTCCAAAGTACGCCTGTACTTAGAATCAGTCTTGGCATTTCAGGGCATTGTGAATCTTCATTTAGGTAAGTTAATGTGCTACTTGCTACTGTGTAATCTTGGGCTAGTCACTTAACCTTCTTGAAAATAAAAATAAAAATGTATAGTTAGCTTGAGAGTATAATTATATCTAATGGCTAAAATATGCTTAGCATATGCAGTAATTTATTAATAAATATTAGGATTTTTGTTGTATTAAACCTAAATGGATTCTACATGCATTTCAGACTATTAAAACATTTTCTATAATTGCCTTTAATGAAGCATAACATACATGAAACCAAATCAATGATGAAGACAATTCTGTGAAAGCAGAAGTCAAAAGAGTTGCTTTCACTGACTATGTAATTCCATTCAATTAGTTTGGGTTGTACCCATCACTTTTCATAGACCAAATCAACTTTAGATATCTTAGGTATACAGACATCTATATTCTCATAATGCTGCAATAGAGAAGATTTCACATCCATTTATTCTAATAAATTTAAACTCGAAATCTTATGCTTTTATATAAAAGATCAATATTCAAATATTCTACTGGCAATATTCACTATAATGTAATAAAATATCTGAGCCCTACTGACCACATTGAAAATGAATACCATAGTTACTGGCAGCAGAAAATTAGCATGTGATTATAAACATCAGTAGTTATTATGCCTCCTTCCCAATTATCTGGGCATGTAATAAAATACTTGTGATATTTATACAAAACCCCCCAAACTAACCATTAAGGTATTATTGTAATACAATATAGTTGGTAGTTTCATGATGATGAATATTATGATTACACAGTGGTATTTTTGGTCTCAACTCATAATGATGGTGTGCCTTTCTTATAAACTGTTACAAATTAAAATAGAAAAAGGGGGTTTTAAATTTTATAAGCAACATGGGCAAAATTATACATAATGGAGGCCTTGGGTTGTATAAATTACAGCATGAGATGATCTTACCAGTTTTAGTAAATTGAAAGATATATTGACTTTCTGGAAAAAAATACAGAACCACAGTTTTTCATCTATTTCTTTATACTTTCAGTAAACACTCATGGTATGACTGAGTTCATATATCAAATAAATAAAATATAAATAAAACTATACAGAATGCTTCAATTTGTTCTCCCACAGGATTTTTTTTTTTTTTGGTAACATCCTTTCCATGTCAAGGGAATAATTTTACTTATTTCCAGAGAGATTATTACCTTCTCTGTTATCTTTACTTTTGTAAGGATACCAGAGTTTGTGGACCCCAGGAGGTCTTGTTGCTCTGCATTTTTGGGGGGCATTGAGAGAAGAGTGCTTAGAAGGAGAGCCTCTCTGTGCATACAATAACAAAAGAGATTCTGCTATTTGCTGATGCAGTAAGAATCTCCAAGATTCAGGTGGTAATTTCACTCTGTGAATTATAATCATGGTCTGCTGCTGCATGTGGAAAAGCCCTTGATTTCATTTATAGAAAAAATAAACAGTTTACCGCTTTTCTCCAAATAGGTTCCAAACTTTTCCATTATTTATACACAGGAGGCCATTAAATTTGTATTAGAATAACTTCGGCAAGGCTTCAGAATACAAAATCAACATACAAAAATCAGTAGGATTCCTGTACACCAACAATATCCAATCTGAGAGCCAAATCATAAACACAATCCCATTCACAATTGCCAAAAAAAAGAATAACATACGTAGGAATACAGCTAATCGGGGAGGTGAAAGATGTGTACAGTGAGAATTACAAAACACTACTCAAATCAGAGATAACATAAACAAAAGGGAAAATATTCCATGCTCACGCATAGGAAGAATCAATATCATTAAACTCTCCATACCGCCCAAAGCAAATTACAGATTCAATGCTATTCCTATAAAACTGCAAATGACGTTCTTCACAGAACTAGAAAAAATGATTTTAAAATTCATATGGAACCAAAAAAAGGGCCCAAACAGCCATGGCAATCCTAAGCAAAAAGAACAAAGCCGGAGGCATCACCTTACATGACTTCAAACAATTATACAGGGCTACAGTAAACAAAACAACATGGTACTGGTACAGAAACAAACACATAGAACTATTCAACAGAATAGAGAGCCCAGAAATAAGGCCACACATCTACAAGGATCTGAGCTGCAACAAAGCTGACCAAAACAAACAATGGGGAAAGAATTCCTTACTCAATAAATGGTGCTGGGATAACTGGATAGCCATATGCAAAAAATTAAAACTGAACTCCTTTACACTATATAAAAAGATCAACTCAAGATGGATTAAAGACTTAAATGTAAAACCCCAAACTATAAAAACCCTGGAGGACAACCTAGGCAATACCATTCTGGACACAGGAACTGGATTTCATGACGAAGACGCCAAAAGCAATTGCAATCAAAGCAAATCTTGACAAATGGGATGTAATTAAACTAAAGCTTCTACATAGCAAAAGAAACTGTCAAAGGAGTAAACAGATGACCTACAGAATGGGAGAAAATATTTACAAACTTTTTTTTTTAATTTTTTGAGATGGAGTTATACTCTGTCACCCAAGCTGGAGTACAGTGGCCTGATCTCAGCTCACTGCAACCTCCGCCTCCTGGGTTCAAGTGATTCTCCTGCCTCGGCCTCGTGAGTAGCTGGGATTACAGGCATCTGCCACCATGCCTGGCTAATTTTGTATTTTTAGTGGAGACGGGGTTTCCCCATGTTGGCCAGGCTGGTCTCGAACTCTTGACCTCAAGTGATCTGCCTGCCTTGGCCTCTACAAACTGTGTTTCTGACGAAGGTCTAATATCCAAATTTTATAAGGAGCTTTAAAAAAATTACAAGCAAAAAAAAAATTAAAAAATGGGCAAAGGACATGAAAAGACACTTCTCAAAAGATGGCATACATGCAGCCAACAAGCTAATGAAAAAAGCTCAGTATCGCTAATAATTCAAGAAATACAAATCAAAACCACAGTGAAATATCTCACACCAGTCAGAATAGCTATAATTTAAAAATAACAGATGCTGGTGAGGTTGCGGAGAAAAATAAAGTTTATACACTTCCTGTGAGAGTGTAAATTAGTTCAGCCATTGTGGAAAGCAGTGCGGTGATTCCTCAAAGAACTAAAAATAGAATTACCATTCAACCCAGCAATCCCATTATTGGGTATATACCCAGAGGAAAATCATTCTATCATAAAGACGCATGCATATGTTCATTGCAACATTGTTCTCAATAGAAAAGGCATGGAATCAACCTAAATGCCCATAGATGGTAGACTGGATAAAGAAATTGTGGTACACCCCGTCTCTACTAAAAATACAAAAAATTAGCAAGGCGTGGTGGCAGGCGCCTGTAGTCCTAGCTACTTGGGAGGCTGAGGCAGGAGAATGGTGTGAACCCGGGAGGTGGAGCTTGCAGTGAGTGGTGATCGCACCACTGCACTCCAGCCTTGGTGACAGAGCGAGACTCCGTCTCAAAGAAAAAAAAAAGAAATTGTGGTACATATATACTATGGAATACTATGCAGCCATAAAAACAATGAGATCATGTCCTTTGCAGCAACATGGTTAGCACTGGAGGTCATTATCCTTAGTGACTAATACAGGAACAGAAACCAAATGCCACATGTTCTCACTTATAAGTGGGAGCTAAATAATGAGAACACATGGAAACAAAGAGGGGAACAACAGACCCTGGAGCCTACTTGAGGGTGGAGCATGGGAGGAGGGAGAGGATCAGAAAAAATACCTATTGGTACTATGCTTACTACCTGGGTTATGATATAATCTGTACACCAAACCCCTGTGACACAAGTTTACCTATATAACAAACCTGCACATGTACCCCTGAAGCTAAAATAAAAGTTAAAAGAAAAAAAATTGTGTTGGAAAATTGGATATCATACATTTTCTAAGGGAGCACACACATACATTATGCATATATACACAAAAGAACATTTCAAAAGAGATTCTAAGGGGAATCCTTTGTAAGATAATGACTATTTCTGTGGCTAAACACTGTGTTTCCTTTTACTCAGTTCAATTGTATTGAGTTATTTAAAAGAAGGCAGCACTCTGCTCCCTGACTCCCCACATCAGCTTCTGAAATACCCATCCTCCTTTAACGATAGATTCACAGAGTGGCTACAAATCATGATCACAGAAAACATAAAATGTTCATAAAAATAGAGGTGGAAAGCACCAGACTAAATTCAGAGAACAGCGAAGACCACAGGAACACATTTAGAGAATTACGAGAGAATTGCTAGTACGACTAGGGGCTCACGTCTTCAATTACTATGAGCTAGACCTGAACGCTATGTGTTAAAACTGAAAAGCATCCACCGAACTTCCCTTGTTTCACATTCTTACTTTAGTTTTTTTACATAAAGAGAAAACATATTACCATAAATGAAAGAACATTTGAAAGATAGAGCATATCACTATAGGAGAGAATATTTTTTTTTCAAAGCTATAGAAGTATGTGCAAACTGTAGAGTAGTGTGCAAGAAAGAGACACTGAAAAGGCATTTGTTAGAATTTGGGGACTTAATGTTACATAGTGGAATTATGTATGGCATGAATTTGAACAACAGCAATTCAAATGGACATGGAAATAGAATAGAAAATAAAATACAGCTGCTGAGTTTTGTGGAATGGGGACAGAATATGTGGATTATTTGGATTAAGAATTCCATAATCAACACGCTGATTCTGATAGCTATAGGATAACAATATTCCATGGAATTCTATTGGGTGTAGAATTAGACAACTACTGTTACAGAAAAGGCAATGCAAAAGCAGGGCAATGAAGAAAAAAAATCCAGAGCAAATATAGGATGAAAACCATACTGCAGCTTTTCCCATATGTCAGTAATAAATTGTTAGCAGTTGTCACCCCAATCACAATGTGGTTAGACTTCCATTAATTTTTAGCATATCTGTAAATTCCTAAATTAATTATGAGTTAACAATCTATAGATTCATTTTTGCTTATTGCTTAAGCAACAACAATATGCAAAGGACATAAAATTTTCACTTATGGTCATAATATTCAGTGTTTAAAGTAAAGTTAGAAAAATTTGAAAACTAATCAATAGTAGAAACTCAGCTACTTAAAAAATAAAAAGATAAAAAGATTTAACTCTCCATCTCTGCAAATTTTGAAAACTGTAATTCAGTGCAGTACATGGGCACTGTCAGTATTTAACTGAGCCAACTGATGCTCTAGGTAATTTTAAACTTAGTTGTTCCTAGAAAGTGATGTACTGTTTTGTTTTGTTCACAGAGTGGGTAGCTTAAAAATAGAAATTATTTTCCCACAGTTCTGGAGCCTGGAATTTCAAGACTACAGTTTAGTTTCTTCTAAGGTCTCTCTTCTTGGCTAGCAGATACCCTTTTTGTCTTCACATGGTCTTTCCTGTGTGTCAGCATGACCCTGTTGTCTCTTTGTATGTGTAAATTTCCTCTTCTGATAAGGCTATCACACAGATTGAACTGGAGCGCACACCAACAGCCTCATGTTACTTTATTCAATTCTTTAGTGGGCCTTTCTCCAAATACAATCACATTCTGAGGTACTGAGAGTTAAGGATGCAACATATGAATTTTGGAGGGGGACCTAATTCAGCTCCTAACAGTCATGACTATTGAAAATAATTCAAAGAGTACAGAAAGTTATAGGGTAAAAATTAAGAATTTCTCTCTGCTGTCCCCTGCCTCACTTACTAGAGGTAAGTTCAGTTACTATATTCTTAAATATTTGTGAAAGAGATTACCTAGCGATTCAATAAACATATTATTTATTATTCCTGGACAAAAAGCTAGACTGTATTTCTATCTCCCTTACAGTTAGGTATGGCCATAGGACTTCATTTTGACCAATGAAATGTGACCCTAAGTGTTGTGCTACACTTTTAGGCCAGGCCCATAAAAACCTGCCATGTGCATGCCTCTGTGTTCTTCCCTGTCAAGTTTAATACAGATCAGGATGTTGAAGATGGCAGAGCCCCATTTTGAAGGAGCCCAAATCACAACTTAGAAGTTTGAAACTCACTTAGAAAAGAAAGACACATTTTAAATGCTACATAAGCAACAAATTAACTTCAATTTCCTTAAGCCACTGAGATATGGGGACTTATCTGTTACAAGAGCTAGTATTATTATAACTAAAATTATAGAAGTATTCTAAACTTACACACATGCATGCATGTTTTCGATTATGCTACATAACTATTACTGCAATGTGCCTTTTAAAATATTGTGCATCAAAGATCACTATCAAGAAAGTGAAAAGACAACTCAAAGAATGGGAAAAATATTTATAAGTCATATATCTGATAAGGATCAAGCACAGAATATATAAAAAACTCCTACAACTCAAAAAAAACCCCAAATAACCCAATTATAAAATGAGCAAAGGATTGAACATATATTTCTCCAAAAAATATACAAATTGTCAATAAGCACATAAAAAGATTGCCAACATCATTAGTCATTTAAGAAAATGTGAATGAAAAATGAGAGATTATTTTCTTTCCACTACGATGGCTATAATAATTTTAAAAATAATAATAACAAATATTGACATGAATGTGGATAAATTATAACACTCATACATTGTTTGTAGGAACATAACATGATTTGGCCACTGTGTAAAATAAGTTGCAGTTTCTTCAATAAGTTAAAGGTAGAATTACTATAAGACCTAGCAATTCCCCTCCTAGGTATATACTAAAAAAATTGAAAACAGGTGTTCAAAGACTTGCGCATAAATGTTTATAGCAGCACTCTTCACAATAGCCAAAATGTGGAAATAACTAAATGTTCACTAATGGATGAAGGAATAAAAAAATTACAGTGGGTTACTTTTTAATGGGTTTTTTTCATTAAATTTCTTTAAATTCCTTGTAGTCTCTGGATATTAGACCATTGTCAGATGGATAGATTGCAAAAATTTTATCCCATTCTGTAGGTTGTCTGTTCACTCTAACAATAGCTTCTTTTGCTGTGTGGAAGCTTTTTAGTTTAGTTTGTCAGTTTCTGCTTTTGCTGAAATTGCTTGTGGCATTTTCATTATGAAATCTTTTTCCTTGCCTATGTCCTGAATGGCATTGCCTAGATTTTCTTCTAGGGTTTTTATAGTTTTGGGTTTGACATTTAAGTCTTTAATCCCTCTTGAGTTGATTTTCGTATGTGGTGTAAGGAGGGGTTACAGTTTCAATTTTCTGCATATGGCTAGCCAGTTATCCCAGCATCATTGATTAAATAAGTAATCTTTTCCCCATTGCTTGTTTTTGTCAGGTTTGTCAAAGATCAAATGGTTGTAGGTGTGCAGTCTTATTTCTGGGTTCTCTATTCTGTTGGATAGTTCAATGTGTCTGTTCTTGTACCAGTACCCTGCTGTTTTGGTTGCTGTAGCCTTGTAGAACAGACACTTCTCACAACGAGACATACATGCAGTCAACAAACATATGAAAAAAAGTTCAACAACACTGATCATTAGAGAAATGCAAATCAAAACCACAATGAGATACCATCTCATACCAGTCAGAATGGTTATTATTAAAAAATCAAAAAACAACAGATGCTGGCAAGGTTGTGGAGAAATAGGAACACTTTTACACTGTTGGTGAGAGTGTAAATTTGTTCAACCATTGTGGAAGACAGTGTGGCAATTCCTCAAAGACCTAGAGGCAGGAATACAATTTAATCCAGCAATCCCATTACTGGGTATATACTCAAAGGAATATAAATCATTGTATTATAAAGATACATGAACATGTATGTTCATTGTAGTACTATTCACAATAGCAAAGACATGGAATCAACGTAAATGTCCATCAATGACAGACCGGATAAAGAAAATGTGGTACATATACACCATGGAATACTATACAGCCATAAAAAGGAATGAGATCATGTCCTCTGGAGGGACATGGATGGAGTTGAAAGCCAGTGTCCTCTGCAAACTAATGCAGGAATAGAAAACCAAACACTGCATGTTCTCACTTATAAGTAGGAGCCGAATGATGAGTACACATGGATACAACTGGGGGACAACACACACTGGAACCTGTCACAGGGTGAGTGGAGGACGGAGAATATCAGGAAGAATAGCTAATGGATGCTGGGCTTAATACCTAGGTGATGGGATGATTTGTGCAGCAAACCATCGTGGCACAAGCTTACCTATGTAACAAACCTACACATCATGCACATGTACCCCTGAACTTAAAGTAAAAGTTGAAGGAAAAAAAATTATGGTAGATGCATAATCAAATATTATTCAGCTATAAAAAGGAATGAAGTACTAATACATGTGGCAGCATGTTTGGAACTTAAAGCATTTTGTTATGTGAAAAAATCCAAACATAAAAGGTAACACATTAGGTATTCAAATTTATATAAAATATTCATAACGAGAAGATCCATAGAGACAGAAAGCATATTGGTGGTTGCCAGAAGCTGGGGGGGAGAGGATAATGCAGAATGAATGCTTAGTGGGTTTGTTTGTCACCACTAAATCTCATGTTGAAATTTATCTTCAGTGTGGTGGTGTTGGGAGTTGGGGCCTTGTGGGAGATATTAGTGTCATGGATGAAGATCTCTTATGAATGGCTTGGTGCAATTCTATTGGTAGTGAGTGAGGTCTCTCAGAAGACTTGATTGTTTATCAGAGGAATGTATCAGTTTCTGTCAGAATGAGAGTGGGTTCTTATAAAGCCAGAGTATTTCTCGGGTTTGGTCCCTCTTCTCACATGCCCACTTCACCTTTGACTTTGTTGTTTCGATGTAGCACAAAAGACTTTGCCAAAAGCTGAGCAGATGCCGGCACCATGCTTCTTGTACAGTGTGCAGAACCATGAGCTTATAGATTTCTTTCTAAATTACTTAGCCTCGGGTATTCATTTATAGTAACACAAAATGGACTAAGACAGCAGGTGCAGTTTCTTTGGAGTGATAAAAACATTCTGGAACAAGGGACAAAACATTGTGAATGTACTAAACGTTACTGAATTATACACTTTAAAATGTTTAAAATGGTAAATCTTTATTTTACTACAAAGAAGTTACTTCTGTAACTACCTGGTGTGAAGTATGGGTTCTCCTTCATTATTTTATATATGAATATCCACTTTCTTCAGTGCCAATTGCTGAAGACACAGGTCTTTTCATTCTCTATTAAATCATCTTGGCACCCTTGATGAATATCAATTGATAATAGATGTATGGAGTTCCTTTCAGACTCTCAATTCTATCCCATTGATCTGTATGTCTATCCTTATAGTGATACTATTCTTCTTTGATTATTATAGTTTGTAGTGAGTTTTGAGGGCAGGAAGTGTAAGAGTTTCAACTTTGTTCTTCATTTTCAAGATTTATTTTTCTATTTGGCTATTTGTGGTCCCTGCAATTACATTTCAATTTTATAATCAGCTTTTCTATTTCTGAAATAAAAGCAGTTAAAATATTGACAAGATTTTTCATAGATATTGCATCTGTAGATTATTTGAGCAGTATTGCGCTCTTAAAAATATTAAGCATTCTAATCCATGAACATATGTCCTTCCATTTATTTATGCATTCTTTAATTTCTTCCACCAATGTTTTATAGTTTACTTATTTTTTGAATTTTTTTTTGCATGTTGCTTTTGTTTTATAAAATCTGAATACGTTACATTTTTTGGGACTTTTAGAGACAAATACATGAAATAGGTGTATCTAACCAAAATTATAATTATTATATGAATTTCCCAATTTCAGATACCAGGCAACTATATGTTATGTAATTAGTATCCTAAGGCAAAGAAGCTCCATTTGTGTGATAACTTCAATTTGAATGGCCTTTGAAATGGGAAAACTGGGATCAAGGTGGCTATGGGTCAAATCTTTCTTTTCATATATTATATTTTGTAAAACTGAAATATCTTTTCCCCAAAGCTTTATCTAGCACTATTTTTCTAGACTCAAAGTTCTCCTAGATATTTCCATGAAGCACAAAGGTTCCTCCTTACTTTACTAATACCATGTTAAATAATGAATTGCCCTCACTGTAGTGGTTTACCTTACCCTCTGAAAAACAGGAATATTGAACATTAAACTCCATTGATGAAATTTATCTATTGATGAGTGTACGTAATGATACTTTTATAGTTTGTTATTCTGTTCTCTATTTCATCATAATTAGCAAATTGCACCTACATTTTATTAAACATTTTTCTGCATCTATATTCAGCTAATACAGTATACATTGCTTGTGTAAATCTTTGTAATATTGGAGAAATGCTACTTTATGGGAATGTTGATTTAAGCTGAAATAGTAATTCTATCCTTAAAGGATATGAAACCGCTCTCCTCTCCAAACAAGACTGAGGTGAGATGAACAGAGATGGGACAGTTTGCTACAGGCTCAGCAGAATCTTAAAAACATTCCAGCTGGAAACAATACTGAGAAGAAATAAGGCTCAAGTACAGGGGGCTGGAAAGAGAATTATAGAAGTGTAACTAAGGGACCTTAAATGACCACCAACATGAATTTGGATTTAATGTCTTAGTTGGTAATAGAATAATTGAACTCTTTCTGAGAAGGGAAATGACATAATTTGAGTTAAGCAGTCAGAAAATAATTATTCAAGTGCTGCTTAAAGGAAGATCTACTAGAAGCAAAAAAGAATACGTTGCAAGCTGTCAAAAGAGTTAATAAAATATTTTCTATCATGAGCCAAGGTTTCATATGTGATCAAGGAACAGATAATCTACACAAATAGAAAAGAGAAGTGATTGTTGTGAGTTTTGATTCAGTACAGGAGGAGGGAGTTTCAATGGGAAAGTGGTTGACAGCGGATATTTAAGAATTGTAGTTTCAGGCAGGCAATAGAGGATTTGATGGGCTTGTAGTAAAAAGAAATACCTACATTACAGTAGACCTAGTTAGGAATCCATGTTCAAGGTTTTATTTCATTATATACTGAGACTCAGGATAGCATTTCATAGACAAATGACAGCAAATAAATGTTTATTTAGAAACGTTTAGAGAAAGACTAAATTAAACTTGGAAAGGTACTATTTTTTACTTGGGCATACCAAATTTCAGGAAAAGATAAGAAAGAAAAAACTTCATGTGATACAAAAAATGATTATCTGAGAATAAATAACTACTATGGTTCATTATGTCTAAAGTGTGGCAAAAATTGTCTCAAAGATATTGTTTCTTTATTTTCAAATCATCTTGGTTGAGCAATTTGCCTTGCTGGGAAAACAATAAGTCTTCTTAGGAAATAATAGCCAAAGAGAGAGGAGGTAGGGTATAATGGAAATATGAGGGGTTTGAGAAAGTAAAAGAAAAAGCTGCCAAACTGAGTCTTAGTAAGAAAACGTGAACTTATGGTCATGGAAAGGAAAACATAAATGTTCTTAGAGTTCTGCTAATAATTTTACAAAAGCTCTATCCAGTGTTAACAGTGATTCTTACTGCTCTATAATCCTCCTCCATTACCTTAAACTTTTAGTAAAAGTCTGCTATAAACAGCAGTTTTTTATCATTAGTCTGAGATAATAAAATGAAATAGATGAAGTCCAGCATGGAATAAAGTAGAGTAAAAAGAAAACAGCACTTGGAGCAAGCAGTTGAAATTGCTGCAGAAACAAGAAATAGGAGCAAGGGAGGTCAAGGAAAGTGCAGCTCTCCTACCTCATCCTTGTAAGAAAACCCTTGCAGACAGCAGGGACACACAGGATGGCTCCATGAAAGTAGAAACATTTGATCTGTGCTTTGATACTCAAAAATGTATAAGGAGGGCCTTCAGGTGGAGGGAAGAGCATAAGAAAATACCTACAGGCAGGACTGACACTCAATTTGGCTCCAGCATTGGGCATACACATCATAATATGGAGGCTAAGCAGTGGATAAAGATGGTGTATAGTAAAAGGCCTTTAAATGGAAGAATAAACAACTGGAAACCAATCTTGGAAATTAGTTGACAACTATTTAGAACTTTTGATCAAGGGAATGAAATGGTCAGAGCTGTAACTTCAGCACATTAACTCTACAGTGTTGTGGAGAAATGAAAGGCTAAACCCAGCTGCTTATGAGGTTCTGAGTCATGGTTTTAATCATGGGAATGGAAAGAAGGGCATCATGTGAGATTTGAAGGTAGAATTTCTAATATTTGGAACCTTATTATATGGTGATAATGAGTGTGTGTAACAAATTACTTCAAAAGTTTGGCAGCTTAAAACAACAATAAAAACGTATTATCTCTTAGAGTTCCTGAGGATCAGAAATTTTGGAATCATTTGGCTGGAAGGTAGGGTTCTGGCATGAAGAATCTCATGAAATTGTAGGCAGATGCTGGGCAAGGATGTAATTACCTGAAGGCTTGACTGGGGCTGGACTATTCACCTTCAGGGTAACTTATTCATGTGCCTACAAGTTGGTGCTGGCTATTGGCAGGAGGCTCCCATCACATAGGCTTCTCCATAAGCTTGCTTATATGTCCTCACACCACAGTGACTGCTTTCTCCCAGGGTGAGTAATTGAAAATCTGAAGGCAGAAGCTGCATTGTCCTCTAAAACGTAGCTTTGGAAGACTCACACTGTCACCTTTCTGGTACCCTATTGGTCAAATAGGTCAGCCATAATTCAAAGTGGGAGGGGAATATACAAGTGTATGAATACCAGGAGAAGAGGATCATTGGGCTACATCTTGGTGGCTGGCTGCCAAAGTGTGTTCTATGTTTTTGTGTGGGAAAGAATTTTTTACTTCATATTCCCAGATCCTAGCCCCATGCATAACCAATATGAAAACTGAAAAATGACTTTGAGTTTTTGAGCTGGTATAATTGAGAAAATTGTAGCTCTATACTGTATAGAAATAGAAATAGAGAAGCTTATTTGGAAGGAAATATTATAAGGTTGATTCCCTTTTAGGTATTTTCTTTGATGAGTGAAATATATATAACAAAGCATTTATTTGATTTTAAACCCTCAAATCTCAAAGGCTAATTGAAAGAGACAAAGTTCAACACCAGCATCTATATTCTGTCCCTTGTAAGTACATGAACTGTATCATGAATAAGAAATGTCATGAACCATTGTTTCCTTTTAGATGGAACTTTATGTTTCTTGGCAGATGCTGTAATATTGAAAGAACTTGAGAAATTTTCAGGAGACCTTTTTAACAGTGCAGTGTTCATAGAGATGTGATGAGAGTTGGGAGACTTTTAAAGGGGCAAGATAGAGATGCTTTAACTTTCTGTGCTATATAAAAGCAGGCAATTTCAAAATAAATCATAATAGAATTGCAGTTATACAGATGCAATTTTCTTTTTCGTAAACCTAAATTTATCATCACTGCTGTCATTTTATAATGACAACATGTAATATGACTTCATGCATCTACTTTAATCACACAGAGCCAGTTTCATTTAATAACACACAGCCTCAGAGCTATCCCTTGTCTTGCTTAACCCTGATGAGTGCTATTCTTATACTGTGGATTTGAAGCTTCATTATTCATTTAATTACTTGTTAAAACTGCAGATACTACCCAGAGACTTTTAGATGCAAGTTAGAGAATGTACATGTAAGCGATAATCTAATAGCTTGCTTATATCTATATCTTATTTCATTGAAAAGCATCACTTTGTGTTGTTACAGCAATCATATAACTAACTTGTTCATTTACCTAAGTTTTGAGTGTTGAAAGATAGTTTGCCCTAAACATCTGACCATCAACAGTAAAATAGAATAGACTTAGAGTCTAATTTCCTACCACTCTCCATCCTAGATTAAGTGACAAAAATGAGTAATCGTACTTGAATGTCAGGGAGATTCTTTTATTCATATTAAAACTAACTGTATCGTTTATAAGCTAGCCAAAGAATTGTCTAGTTTCCCCTTTTCGTAATTTAAGTAGAAAAAAGTATTTCTTGGAGTATTTATTTTAGCACAGGAGAGATTTTGTGCATTTATTCCAGCGATTAGAGCAACACTGCATGCTACCTGTCCAATCTGTCACAGTTTTCCATGGAGGATGTTTTAGGTTACACTAATGAATTTGCTAAGTACATAGGAGCTGAACAGGCATATACTCAATTGATGAAGCATCTGGGAAATTGTTAATAGAGGGGGCATTCTGTCTTAAAGGAGAGGCACAAAAGCTGCTACTAGCATCACATATAAAGCTTTTGTTTTTCTTTATTTATATTTTTAATTTTCTTTTGTTTTGCTTGCAGTGCTTCCACTCACTTCACTTAAATACCTAACTTAACAAGTGTCAGGTTTAAGTAGAAAAATAAAGAATGCTCTTAACAGTATTAATTTTGGGACCATAAAATTGAGAAAGAATGACTGCTATAAACATACAGTGATTATTATCGCTAAGAAATAGTCCAGAGTGTGTGGATATTTCCCAGGAGACATTTTGGGGTTTTCCAATAGTAATTGGTAAACAGAAGAAAGTGTTTTAGGATAACATTTAGTTACAATGTACTTCTCCATCAATCATATTGGTCTGAGGATTCATACTGAGGTCCTTGCCTACCTTTTGCATCTCCCCCAAAATGATAACCAGATGTATTTAGTCACGTGGTCTTATGAATAAAAATTGTGTGTGATTCAGGATGGGAAAATGACCCAGGAAGTACTCTTATTCAGCACTTTCAATGACGTTTTGCATAACTTGATCTATGAGACTGTAGAGGACCTGGAATTATATTTCTCTTATTTGTGGGGAGATGGGAAAGGAATTTCAACATTGATTTTGTTGAACCAAAAGCTTTGCAGCACATAGTTTTGTGTGTGTTAATTGCTGTAACCCCAGTCTCCAAAGTATGAATTGCTTCTGTCAATTTCAGTGTCTGAGTCTTCATAAAAATGCAAAAGAATTTCCAAGTGGAATTGGATATTTTTACATCCAGAAAGATTTTTGCAGAATACATTGAGATACTCACCTTGGTTTGACTTAATCTACACTTGGAGTTAACAAAAGGGATCACTGTCCTTGGAATGATAATGTTAACGTTTCCCTACTGGGAAATAAATGATGCTTTGAAAAATGTTTTCTCTTCTGCTGTTTCATGTTATCTGATCCAGTTCTTCCCATGACCAATGATGCTGAAAGTGGAATAGCTGGCTGGGGTGAATGGTATACTCTGCAGTAACAGGGACAGAACAAATTAGCTGGCCCCATTGGAAATAAGATTGATTTCTTCATTAGTGGACTGAAGAGGCAGTCACAGACAATGCCACAAAAATTAGTGCATGAAGTCTTCACTGTTAATTTCCTAACATGAGATCAAGCCAGATAAAGGGGGGTAAAAAAGATTCCAGAAATAAGGAATTAACTATATGTGTTTTCCTTATAGCTAGAGCTATCATTTGACATCATTTCACCTTCTAGGAAACACATTGAATATTGCATGTAATGAAAACTTCCAGAGGTACTACTATTTATTTGCTACATTAACTAAAAACTCATCTTTTTGGAAACAAATTTTTATTGCTTTTTAATTGTATAAGAATTTTAAAATTATTTTTCTTCAAGCTGATAATACAGAAAATAATCCTATTACACTCAAAGAAAAGCATTCATAGAAATAATGCTAGCTAAGGCTGTTGAGTTACTAGTTCATGCTTTCTTCTTTTTTCTTTATATTTTACTTCCTCTCTACTGTAAAGCAAACCAGTTTCTGATGCTTCCATGAGGAAGGTTTGTATAGACAGGAAACAACAATCTCCTTGAATTTTGTTTTTCTGAAGTCTATGTTCCTTGAAAGGATAGTGTTACACTAGAAGAAAGAAGACCATAATTTTGAAAGTAGCAAAAGGGGATGCTGGAGGGAAATTGAGACTGGTAAATTGTCTGACTACTGGGAATCGCTACCCACTCTCTTGCTTCTCTTGAAGGAAAATGACTACCTCCTGTAAATGGGGAGGCCGACCAAGTTTCATGCATTCTCAGTGCTAGACACAGTGACACTACAAATCACCAGGAGGCCATATTGAATTGGACTGTGGTCATCTCAGCATGTGGTCGAATAAACAGAGAGATATTCCTAAATACCCTTCTGGAAACTTGATACAAAGCTGTGATGGGAGCAGCCAGGGAAGAGTAAGGTTTTAGGCAATTGGCAATATTGACTGACAGTGAATTTTATAGGCAATTCTGTAGGATGAGGACTATAAGGACATTGTCCAGAAAAGATTGTAGAATAAGAATCACATGCATTATAAGTTTATCTTAATATATACAAATAACTGTATGGGTATTTGTTTTATGCTTTTTTCTAAATGTAAAATATTTTATTTTTGCAGAAAAATAATTTAGAGTAAATTGCATTGTCTTATTCATATAAAACATCAGTGTATTGATATAACCCGTAAAATGAATAGAATTTATATTTACTTCATTCTGCCCACAAAGTATTAATCCAGCTATCCAGCTAGCCATTTAGGCTGACATTAAGAAGATATTGAATAAATCTTTCTCCACCCTTCGTAATTTTTTGATATTGATTTCCAAAAAGGTATCACAAACTATTGGAAAGCTAACCAATCTCTTTTGCACTTTCTTAAATTATACTTGAATACAGTCTATAAAACTTATTAAAACTAGTTAAATTCTTTAAAAAATATAATAATTCAATGCTCACCACTCAGACATTATATAACTAGCAATTATAACATTTTTAATAATTGGTAATACACATACTAAAAATGCAATTTGGATGAAAGTTGTAACAGAGTCCTTTTGTTTATTTTTTCTAAAATGTAAAATTTGCAAAAGGCTGAACAACTGCTTTGTGAATCTGAAGAGTTTCCATTGAGACATTTCCAACTTATTACTACTATAAATACTGCTCTGTCCATTTCTAGCTGGGTTTTTTGTTTATTTGTTTGTTTTTGTTTTTTATAAAGGAGCTTCTTGAAAGTCAAATAACTTGATCACTTGTTAGGATATATTTAAGACACTTGATATATATTAGCAAATTTCTTTTTTCATTCTCTTATATTCCTGCTAAAATGCATAAAAATGCCTTTCTCACTAATATCAGCATTAGCATTCGCATTTTACAAATTCTTTACTAATTTAATAGAAAAAAATAAAATCTTATTTCTCTTTCTCTTTAATATATGTGTCTTTAATCAATAACAACATGAAATATTTGTTCTTTTTTATTAGCTATTGTATTTCGCTCCAGTAACTTTCTTGTTTTTATTCTTTTTTTAAATTGAAAGTGTTTCTTACAGCTTTATATAAACTCTAAATATATTTATTTATTTTTATATTATAAAGATATCAAATGTCTCCTCTACTTACTGCAAAAGTATCTTTGTTAGATCATTACCATTTAGTATTCTTCATGATATTTGACCATTCATTATGTTCTTTTCTCATACTAAAAATGAATAACACAGGTTTAGGAGCAAGATAATGGAATAGAAGCCTACAACATTTGCTCTCCGACCCCACTGGAAAACCAAATGACTCTTGGGTTTCCTGACACCAGGCCTAGGTGGTGGGACAGCATTTCTGGACCTGCCCTGGGAAAGAAGGGAGCTTAACAGTCCTGAAAGGTGAGTCCGAGGCCTGACAGCATTCACCACAAACTAACAGAAGAGCCCTTGGGCTTTAAGTGAACATCAGCAGTGGCCTGGCAGAACTTCCCATGAACCAGTGGTGGTGGTAGCCACAGGGAGCAGCTCTTCTGCTTGTGAAAAGGGGAGGGAAGTTAGGGAGATGGTTTGTATTGTGATTTTAGTGCCAGGTTAGCCACAGTACAGTAGAACGCTAGGTAAATTGCTAAGGTTTTTGACTCCAATCTCTGGCTCCCAGACAGCATCTCTGGAAATACTCAGGGCCTTGGAGAACTCACTGCCCTAAAGGGAAGGTCCTTGGGCAGGGCCCAAGGATGTGCTGGTTTCAGGTCTGACCCAGTGCAGTCCCAGTGGTGGTACCACAGGTGTGCTTGCATCACCACATCCCCAGCTCCAAGTGGCTCAACAAAGAGACACTCTATATATTTGGGAGAAAGTATGGGAAAAAAACAAAAGTCTCTGCCTGGAAATTCAGAGAATTCATCCCAATCATTTCCAAGACCACCAAGTTGGTGCCTCTATGAGTCTGCAAAAACCATAGTGTTATTGGTCTTGGGTCCCAAGTCCCTTTAAATACGTGGAAATCTTCCCAAGAAGGACAGGCATGAACAAGCCCAAACTGTGAAGATTACAATAAATACCTAACTCTTCAGTGCCCAGACACTGATGAATATCTACAAGCATCATTAACATCCAGGAAAACATGACCTCACCAAATGAACAAAATAAGGCACCAGGGACCAATCCCGAAGAAACAGATATATAACCTTTCAGACAGAGAAATCAAAATAGCTGCTTTGAGGGAATCTCAAAGAAATTAAAGTTAACACAGATAATGAATTCAGAATTACATTAGATAAATTTAACAAATAATTGAAATAATTAAAAAGAAGCAGAAATTATAGAGTTGAAAAATATAACTGACATTCTGAGGAATGCATTGGAGTCTCTTAATAGCAGAATTAATCAAGCAGAAGAAAGAATTAGTGAGCCTGAAGACAGGCTATTTGAAAATACACAGTTAGAGGAGACAAAAGAAAAAAGAATAAAAACAATTAAGCACACTTACAAAGGTAGTAAAAATAGCCTCTAAAGGACAAATCTAAGAGTTATTGGCCTTAAAGAGGAGGTAGAGAAAGAGATAAACCTATAAAGTTTATTTAAAGAGATAATAAGAGAGAACTAGAGAAAAATATCAGCATTCAAGTGTAAAAAGGTTACAGAAAACTAAGCAGATTTAACCCAAAAATGACAACCTCAAGGCATCTAATAATGAAATTCCCAAAGGTCAAGGATTAAAACATGATCCTAAAGTCAGCAAAAGATAGAAATGAGTAACATACAATGGATCTCCATATACATCTGGCTGCAGACTTTTCAATGGAAACTTTATAGGGCAGGGGAGAGTGGCTTAATATATTTAAAGTTGTTGAGGAAAGAAATCTTTTATCCTAGAATATTATATTTGGCAAAAATCTTTTTTTTTTTTTTGGATGGAAAAGCAAAGGCTAATCTCTTTATTTCAGCCACTAATAATTGTGGTAATCGTGGGTGTTAAACCTTGAAGTCTTCGTGGCATTGCTGTTTATCTGGTGGAAACTTATGACGCTTAGAATAGGCTGAAAAAACCTTTTAAGCATGAAGCAGAAATAAAGACAGTCTCAGACGAACAAAAGCTGAGGATTTCATTAACACCAGACCTGTCCTACAAGAAATGCTAGAGAGTTTTTCGACCAGGTGCGGTGGCTCATGCCTGTAATCTCAGCACTTTGGGAAGCCAAGGTGGGTGGATCACCTGAGGTCAGGAGTTCAAGACCAGCCTGGTCAACATGGTGAAACCCAGTCTCTACTAAAAATATAAAAATTAGCTGGGCATGGTGGTGGGTGCCTGTAATCCCAGCTACTTGGGAGGCTGAGGCAGGAGAACCCTTGAACCCAGGAGGTGGAGGTCGCAGTGAGCCGAGATCATGCCATTGCACTCCAGCCTGGGTGACAAGCGTGAAACTCCATCTCAAAAAAAAAAAAAAATGCTAGAGAGTTTTTCAATCTGAAAGAAAAGGATGTCAATGAGCAAAAATAATTCATCTCAAGGTACAAAACTCATCAGTAATAGTAAGCACACAGAAAAACACAGAATAGTTTAACACTGTAATTTTGGTGTGTAAGCTACACTTGTCTTATGGAGAAAGACTAAATGATGAACCAATCAAAGAGAAACAACAAAATCTTAAAAAGCAGGGGGACAAAGTTAAAGTGTAAACTTTTATTAATTTTCTTTCTGTGTGTTGTTTGTTCACATGTTTATGCAGTCAGTGTTCATTTGTCATTGGTTTAAAGTAGTGGGCTGTAAGATAGTATTTCCAAGCCTCACAGTAACCTCAAATCAAAAATCACGCAATGGATACAGAAAAGATATAAAGCAAGAAATTTAAACATGCTACTAGAGAAAATCCTTTACTAAAAGGATGAATAGAAGGAAGAGAAGACCAAAAACAACTAGAAAACACATAGTAAAAGTCCCCATTAACAATAACATTGAATGTAAAAGGATTGAACTATCTAATTAAAAGATATTGAGTGGCTGAATGAATGAAAATACAAGACCCACTGACCTGTTGCCTACAAAAAAAAAACATACTTTATCTATAAAGGTACACATAAACTGAAAATAAAGGGATGGAAAAAGATAACAATGCCAATAAAAATGAAAAAAGAACAGGAGTAGCTACACATATATAGATAAAAATAGATGTCAAGACAAAAACTGTAAGAGGCAAAGAAGGTCATTATCTAATGATAAAGGGGTCAACTCAGCAAGAGGATATGACAATTGTAAGTATATATGCATCCAACACTGGAGCATCCAGATATATAACCCAAATATCATTAGGGCTGAAGAGAGAGATAGACTCCAATACAGTAATAACTGAAGACTTTAACACTTCCTTTTCATTATTGGACAGATCTCTCAGACAGAAAATCAACAATCATCAGACTTAAACTACACTATGGAACAAATGGACCTAATATTTACAGAAGATTTAATCTAACAGCTGCAGAATACACATTTTTCTCCTCAGCACATGGATAATTCTCAAGAATAGACCATACGTTAGGTCAGAAAAGAAGTCTTAAAACACACAAAAAAATCAAACATCTTCTCTGATCACAATGGAATAAGCCTAGAAATCAATAACAAGAGGAATTTTGAAAACTATATAGACACGTGAAAATTAAACAACATGCTTCTGAATGACCAGTGGGTTAATGAAGAAATTAAGAAGGAAATTGATAAATTTCTTAAAACAAGTTGAAAATGGAAACACAACATATCAAAACATATGGGATACAGTGAACACGGTACTAAGAGGGAAACTTAGTACTGTGCCTACATAAAAATTCCAATAAATAATGACCTAATAATGCATCTCAAAGAACTTGAAAAGCAAGAGCAATCCAAACCCAAAATTGGTAGAAGAAAAGAAATAATAAATATCAGAGCACCAATAAATAAAACTGAAATGAAGAAAACAATACAAAACATCAATGAAACAAAAAGTTGCTGTTTTGTAAAGTTAAACAAAATTGACAAACCTTTAGCAAGCCTATTCAAGAAAACAAGAAAGAAGACCCAAATAAATACAATTGAAGATGACAAAGTAGACACTATGACTAATACTGTAGAAATTCAAAGGAGGTTACTATGAGCAAATATATGCCAACAAATTGAAAAGTCTAAAGGAAATTGATAAATTCCTTGACATATACAACCTACCAAGATTGTCCCATGAAGAAATACAAAACCTGAACAGACCAATAACAAGTAACAATATCGAAGTTGTAATAAAACGTCTTCCAGTAAAGAAAAGCCTGGGTCGTCATGACTTCACTGCTGAATTCTACCAAACATTTAAAGAAGAATTAATACCAATCCTACACAAAATGCTTTCAAAAATAGAGTAAAAGGAAATACTTCCAAACTCATTCTATGAAGCCAGTATTACACTGATACCAAAACCAGACAGACATATCAAAAAAAGGAAACTACAGGCCAATATATCTGATAAATATTGATGCAAAAGTCCTCAATAAAATATTAGCAAACTGAATTCAACAGTACATTGAAAAGATCATTCATTATGACCAAGTGTTATCTATCCCAGGGAGGCAAACATGGTTCATCATATGCAAATCAATCAATGTGATACATTATGTCAACAAAATGAAGCACAAAAACATAATCATTTCAATTGATACTGAAAAAGAATTTGATAAAGTTCAACATTTCTTCGTGATAAAAACCCTCAAAAACTGGGTATATAAAGAACATACCTCAACATAATAAAAGCCATATATGAGAGAATCGCAGCTAGTATCATACGGAATGGGGAAAGCAGAAAGCCTTTCCTCTTTGATCTGGAAAACAAAAATGATGCTCACTTTCACCACTGTTATTCAACATAGTAGTGGAAGTCAGCCAGAGCAATAATAAAAGAAAAAGAAATAAAGGGCATCCAAATTGGAATGGAAGAAGTCAAAATATACTTGTTTTCAGATGATATAATATTATATTTGGAAAAACCTAAAGACTCCACATAGAAACTATTAGAACTTTTAAAGAAATTCAGTAAAGTTGCAGGACACAAAATCTGCATACAAAACTCAGTAGCATTTCTATATGCCAGAAGTGAACAATCTGAAAAAAAAATTAAATAATCCTGTTAACAGTAGCCACAAAATAAAATGTCTATAACCAAAGAAATGAAAGAAATTAAATTAAAACTATATAAGACAGATGGAATAAATTGAAGAGAACACCAAAAAAATGAAAAGATATTTCATGTTCATGAATTGAAAGACTCAATATTGTAAAAATGTCCACACCACCCAAAGCAATCTATAGATTTTATGCCACCCTACGGAAATACCAATGACATTCTTCACAGAAATAGAACAAACAGTTCTAAAATTTATACGGAATCACAAAAGACCCAAAATAGCCACAGCTTTCCTGAGCAGAAAGAACAAAACTGTTGAAATCACATTGCCTGACTTTAAGTTATCTTACAGAACTATAGTAACCAAATCAGCATGGTACTGGCATAAAAACAGACAGATAGACCAATAAAACATAATAGAGAACCTAGAAACACATCCACACACCTACAGTGAACTCATTTTTGACAGAGATGTGAATAACATACATTGGGGACAAGATTGTCTCCTCAATAAATGGTGCTGGTAAAACTTGATATCCATATGCAGGAAGAATGAAAATTGATCCCTGTCTCTCACTTTATACAAAAATCCAATTTAAATGAATTAAAGACTTAGGTCTAAGACCTTAACCTATGAAACTACTGTAAGAAAATATTGAGGAAAATTTCCAGGACATTGATCTGGTCACAAATTTCTTGAGTAACACCCCACAAGCACAGGCAACCAAAGCAATAATAGGCAAATTGGATCACATCAAATAAAAACATCTTCTTTACAGCAAAGGAAGCAATCAGCCAAATGAAGAGACAATTCACAGAACGGGAGAAAATTTGACTTTTTGCCTGTCTCTCAACTAGTTTCTAACTTGGGTTCAGGCCATAGGGTTGCTATTCAATGATCACCTAATACCCCAATATCTTGCATCATTCCATGGAAACCTTGAGCTGATATTTGGAGAATAAAAGATTATGTTTCTGGCACAGCCTGGGCAAGAGACATCATATATCAATGCTTTTATGTCATGTGGCTTTTTGACCTTGGTGGATTGCAGCAGTTTATATTTTGGTAGGTTTTTAACTGTTTCAGGCAAGGCAGGCCTCAGTAAGCATAAACAATAGGAACTTCTGGCTGACCTTACCCTGACCCACAGTAGCTTAGCTTTTAACCACGCAGAATCTGCTGACACAAGGATTACATGATCAAAGAAGAAAGCCATTTAGTCCTAGTTAAGGCCTATATCAAAACAAGTTGCATTTCTAAGTGTTTGAGCTTTCCAAGCATTTGTGCATCGGGTAAAAGGAAAAACAAAACAAAACAAAACCAAAAAACCTCTGTTGTTTTCTCAGCCAAATATATATGCTGAATTTTAAACTTGCAATAGCAGACAGAATCATGAGAGATAAAGGCCAATAGTTTATATGTTGCCTGCCAGATATAAGTGGGTAATCCTTGTTCAGAAGCCCCCAATTCAGCTTCTCTTAATGTCATTTTACTATAAGGCTGAGGGAACAGATTGTCCAATCTTAGGAAATTCAATGGGTTCTCCATGTACTCTAGTCTAAAACTTCATCATATGATCTCTACCTCAACCAGAATTTACTAATTACAAAAATTTGGACCAAGTTTTCAGCATTCATTAACCCAAATGGTGTTGTTGCCTAAAGTCGGAGGGTAGATTTTATTCATAAACAAGTGGAAAGATATTTAAAATAAGTATAATGTGTTATTGTTGTTAAGAAAGAGAAACATTTGAATGAAATTGAAATACTAAGAGTTTAAAGGACAGAAATACTTGTGCCTAAAATACTCTGTCTTAGAGAATAAAATTGATTAAGTCAGAGAAGATTCAGAGTAGTTTGAAATATATAGTTCAGACTTACTCTCTGCATAGAAGCAGTGGAAAAATGAATGTAAAATAAAAAAAGGATCGATAAACTAATAAGCAGAGATTTATTTTAGAACTTAGAACCAGGCTAAGCAGATCTAAAAGAAAAATGAACGTATCCATTTCTAATTTTTCTTTAAAAAGGAAAAGCCCAAGCACTGAGCCTCAATGATAAAATAGAAGGCACTGAGTACATATTTTTGCAAAATGCCAAATGAGCAAAAGCTGAAAACAAGATTTCATCAATGCCATAAATCAACTTCTGGGATACAAAAATACATATAAAATGTTGTATTAACAATTATATTATAATATAATTGAAGTTTAGCAGCCATTTTAAACTTCAGGATTGCCCCAGGAATCACTTCACTGCTCATTTTTTATGCTCTACATATTGACTTTCAACTAGCATTTCTGGAGGAGGATCTCACTTTGTCTTCTTTTTGACTTCTCTGTTTTTTCTTCATTATGTGTGGTATATAACTTTGGGGTTTTCCTGAGGAAATATTGGGGTGGCAAAGTTAATATTCTGCTTTTACTTCATCTTCACAAGATGTGAAGGATTTAGAAACAGGACTTGAAAGATTCAAGACTTAAATGGAATTAAGTAAATACAACTAAGTAAAAAGCTTTCATAAAGCTGTTTGAAGCAAATATGTCAAACACTGTAGTCTCTTCTGCCTGGAATTGACACTTAAATTTATACACACATTTGTTGGCTCAAAAAGAATGTTGTGTCATCCATAAATTTTCTAGGTAATAGTCCCTTAATAGTCATCTTGGCAATCTATTTCCTTTTTAACTATTTGAAAATTCTTAACAACTATTTTGTGTATACTTTACGATCTTCACAAAATATACTCTTGTAAAAGTAAATATAAACTTACATATAAACTGAATGATAGAAATTCAACACATACAACACATAGGATTTTTTCAAGTTATACTTATAATGGAAACTTATCTTTAAAAGCAAGTATTCCAGTTATTCCAGTGTTCAAATGAATTCAGATATGTCTTTTTTTTTTTTTTTTTTTTTGAGACGGACTCTCGCTCTTCCACCCAAGCTGGAGTGCAGTGGCGCAATCTTGGCTCATTGAAACCTTTGCTTCCTGGGTTCAAGCGATTCTCCTGCCTCAGCCTCCCAAGTAGCTGGGACTACAGGCGCGTGCCACCACGCCTGGCTAATTTTTTGTATTTTTAGTAGAGATGGGGTTTCACTGTGTTAGCCAGGATGGTCTCGACATCCTGACCTCGTGATCCGCCCGCCTCGGCCTCCCAAAATGCTGGGATTACAGGCGTGAGCCACAGCGTCCAGCCCAGATATGTCTTATATGTATTATTAATTGTTGCACTGATTAGAATAAAGTAAGCTAGGCTATCACATGATGAAATTCAATTCAAAACTGCCAGAGACAACAATGAAGTAGATATTTAGCTCTTCAGCTTTCCAAATTCTGAAGCCAAAAGCTGAAACCAAATAACAGTTTTTAGCCAAATTGTAGGGTTCATGTGAACCCACTTGAGAGATAGGATCTTAGAGTTAAAGATACATTTTGTGTAGTATAGTAATTGTGGAATAAAATAACTACTGGAAGATTGTATGATTGTATAACATACATTTTTGCTCAATATCATATTTCTAAATTGTTGCTGTCCTTTACAGTATTTCATTGAATATGGAACATTTTTTCCATTCTTTGAATAATGAACAGTTACGGATTTTTTTTGCTTATTTTTTAAATAAATGCTGCTTTGAACATTCTTGTCCGTATCTCCTTGTAAATATGTGTGTCTCTGGGATATAGCCTTAGTATTTTAGTTGTTGGTTTGTCAGGTTTATGCTTCTTTAACTTGTCAAATAATATCAGATTGTTTTCTGAAACAACCACAATTTTTCCTGTTTGTAGGACAGACTAGTTCTCCGTCCCTTGCAGCTCATGGGCTGAGTTCTGACCAATGGGATGTAGACAGAGATGATGCGCAATCTTGAAAGGTAAAAGAGTACCATACTTCTCATTTTTAGTTTCTCCTTGCTGGAATGAAGATAGTACAGATGATAATCTCAATAATAGTGATGGATATTTAATACTATGTGAGGGCGAAATAAGCCACTATTTAGGATAATTCACTGATAATTTAGGTTTTCTGACACTCCCATCAGAACCTAATGAGAACTAACTTACGCTCTCAATTTGCAACCAGTAAGCATTTTCATAAGCTCTCATTCTTGTCAACAATTATTATTATTATCATATTCTCTCTATTTTTGTCAATTTGGTGAGTATGAAATAATCTCTAATTGTGGAATTAATTTATATTTATTAATTATTGATGAAACTAAATATCTCTTTATATGTATATTACGTGTTTCCATTTATAAAATAACTTTTCTTGACTTTTGACTATTTCTTCCAAAAAATAGTTTCTATTTTTATTGATGATTACAATTTTCAAATATAAATATTCTAGAAACTAATTTTTGTTAGTTTTATAATTTGAAACTATCCAAACTCAGTGTGTGACTTTTATTTTTTGATGATGAACAGAACATCTTAAGATAATGTTGTTCTATTTATTAATCCTCTCCTTTATGATTTATGCTTTTTATGTCTTACTATATGGAGATGCCCTAAATAATATTTTTCAAATTTATCTTTTAAGTACTTTAATCTTTGCTTTTCACATGGACATCTTTACTACACAAGGAATTGACATTTTGTGTGCATGGTATTAGATAGGGATTAAATATATTTTTGTCTCATTTAAATTTCCTATTATCTCAATACTGCTTGTTGAATAGTCATTTCCGTCCCCACTGATACATAGTGCTATCTCTGTCATAAATCAACTGAGTCATATGAGCCAGTTTTTTCATTTCTATTCCTTAGGTCTAGCTATCTATAACAACACTACATAATTGCATTTACTATAACTTTAGAATAAGTCTTGATTTAAGGTAAGATAAATATCTCAATTTTTTTTTCTTTCTTTTTTTTTTAAGAAGAAATTTCGCTCTTGTTGTCCAGGCTGGAGTGCAATGGCTCCATCTCGGCTCACTGCAGCCTCTGCCTCCAGGTTCAAGCCATTCTCCTACCTCAGCCTCCCGAGTAGCTGGGATTACAGGCGCCCACCACCATGCCCGGCTAATTTTTTGTATTTTTAGTAGAGACAGGGTTTCACCATGTTGGCCAGGCTGGTCTTGAACTCCTGGCCTCACGTGATCTGCCTGACTTGGCCTCCCAAAATGCTGGGATTACAGGCGTGAGCCACTGCACCCAGCCAGTATCTTAGTTTCTTCATAAGCATGTTTCCCTTGAATTCAATCACATTTCTAAAAATCTACATAAGATTATATGTTTGCAACTATAAAACAATATGAAAAAGATTTTTGTTACATGCTAACCAATTTACCTCTATAACATTTACACCATTTACACTCCCAGCAACAATATGTGAGAGTGACTTTTGACCCACTTGTTTGCCTTTCCTTTGACTATAACTGAGTTTCTTAGAGTAAAACAAAACAAAATTTTTTGTATCTTAGAGAAGCAAAATATATATATTATATATATAGCAGCAAAAATATGTACACAAGGATGTTCATAACAGCTTTAATCATTTTAGACAAAACTTGTAAACAATCCAAATGTTTACCAATATTGTCCTATGTTTCTTGAATTCACTGCTAAGTATGTATTAAATGATTTGAACTTCTGATGTTCACAACAATGTAAAAAAATCTCAAAACACGATGTTGATCAGCCTGGCACGGTGGCTCACACCTGTAATCCCAGCATTTTGGGAGGCCGAGGCAGGCAGATCACGAAGTCAGGAGTTCGAGACCAGCCTGGACAATATGGTGAAACCCTGTCTCTACTAAAAATACAAAAAGTAGCCGGGCATGGTGTCGTGCGCCTATAGTCCCAGCTACTCGGGAGGCTGAGGCAGAAGAATCGATTGAACCTGGGGAGGTGGAGGTTGCAGTGAGCCGAGATCACGCCTGGGTGACAGAGCGAGACCCGTCTTAAAAAACAACAACAACAACAACAAACAACGTTGATCAAAAGAAACAAGACACAAAAGTGTACATACTATGTGCTTCCTTTGACATAAAATTGTAGACTAGGAAAAAAATAAGTGATAAATAACAGTCTTTGCCTCTGCCTAGATTGATAGATTTCTTAGAAAAGGGAAGGAGGAAAATTTCTGGAATGATAGAAGTGTTCATTATCTTAACTGGGATGGTGGTTGAAGTGGGTGTATGTATTTGTCAAAGCTCACTGAACTGTGTAATTTTAAAATGTAAAAGATTTTGCATGTAAATTATGCCATAATTTTTTAAATTATAAATGATTTTTAAATACAATAACAATTAAACAAACATATATATTTATGTTTGTAATAGAGAAAAATAACTTTTGCAAACTGTTGTAGGGCAAGATTGTGATTTTGGCTCGTAATGGGAAACAATTCTCCACAGGTCTCTCTCATTGTATGTGTCTTTTGACTTAGGTACTAACTGCCCTTTGTTCCAGACTGTGTTTTCCCTAAGACTTCTAATATTAATACTTTTGACCTCACATAGCTTAGATACATTTATGTTCAACCTGGCTCATTACTTTAAATAGAATAGTGCTTATAAGGATAGAAAAATGTTACTTTAATGTTTTTATAAATATAAATGCTTAATGGAGATATCAGCTTAATTTACAGTTGTTATCATTCAGTTGGGGGGTGATAGTGTGTGGTTCTCTGGTTCAAGGTTTGGAAGGCAAGAAGGAAATAATACGTTTAAAATTCACAACGACATTCCATTATTGCCACAATTTTATAAAGTGCAAAATCGTTTTGGAAAAATACTTTGGACATAGAAATTAAAGTGAAAAGTATGTAAATAATGTGCTTACTGTTCTGCCCTAAATATGGATCATCGTACACCTTTAAACTTTAATCCTCATTTAATGCCAATTATATTCATTAATGTGTATGCTACATACATATTATATATATGTATATAGGTATATAGCTTATTAATGAAACTCAAATAACTTTGATTTATTTAACTTTATTTATGTACACTCACATATACTATAACAAAACTCTAAACAACCTGGTCATTCTTTTCTCCAATTCATATTTGATACAACAAAACCTCAGAGGTGTTATAATCTCACAGAGAGTGTCAGACTCAACTTTTTATTGAGGTCAATTTAATTTCAAAGTCTGCAGTTTTTCTGTCACTTTATACTGCTTCTCTAGCAGTAGGAGTAGGAGTATTAAAGATCAGCTCATTATAAATAAATAGGTTGATATATCTTTTAACTCACTCTTTGCAACTTTTTCCAAAATTCCTTTTGTATTTATGTATTAATTTTCACCATAAGAAATACAAAACTGGTTTCAATATGTAACTCTTTTTATCCATGCCTCTTTATCTTCAGCTTATTCTCTTTCAAAGTGAAAGTTGCATGGCTAAACAATTGAGTCCGATCTAGATTCAATTTAGTTCCTTGACAGATATACATTGGTATGAATTTAATCTCCAGGGATTTCTACCAAGTCCACAGTTGCTTCTTTACACAACTAGCTACCTCAGTTAGTGAAAATAGGGCACTGAATAACAACAGTAGAAGCCTTGTTATATTTTGTCCTCTAGTAAATGTATGCTGAGAAATAAATGGAAAGAAAGAGCAGGAAAGGCGTGGATTAACCATAATGCACAGATCTATCATGAAGCTAGTGAAGCTCAAACTCCAGGGTCTTTCACTTCCACAGATTCCTTACAAAGTCCTGTCTGGTTATAACAAATTTATGTACTTTTTCTTAGAGTCTCCTCAAGATTATATAAGCTTCATGTTATATAAAATCTAAATTGTCACCTGAGAAACTTGAAAGTCATAAGAATATTTCTAGCTCAAATACAAGATCAACATAAAGAAAAGGAAACATAATGGGAAGGAGGCTAATACAGAAGACAGGGACGATAAAGAGCAAAATGTTAAAGTTATCTTAAAAACGGAAAGTTTAGGGGTACTTGGGAAATCTCTTCAAAGGAAAGACTGAGGAAAAATAAACACTGAACATTTGGATTAGAGACTCAAGAAATATTTGTCTCCTCTTTCCCTTGGGAGCATTCCTTGGCAATAACATTTCTACATCAGTCCCTCAAAAGATTGACCTAAAATATATTTATATATCAGTTTGTTGTAGTAAATATTGTGCAAAACTTTAACTGAGAGTTCCCTACTTTTCAATAATTTTTTTCGCACATATGCAGAAGCTAAAACTCGGTGTACACATAAAGAATACATCATAGGTAAATAACAAAATAGAACAAATCAGATAATGGTATAAAAATTGTGTTCATCAGAAAGTTCCACTATTCTGATCTCCATTGATTTGTGAACATAGTCTTGACTTGTATGTGTGTGTGTGTGTGTGTGTGCGTGTAGTAGCACCATCTCGGCTCACTGCTGCAGCCTCCGCCTCCTGGGTTCAAATGATTCTTATGCCTCAGCTTCTTAAATAGCTGGGATTGTAGGCGTGTGCCACCATGCCCAGATATGTTTTGTATTTTTTTGTATTTTTAGTAGAGGTGGGAGTTTCACCATGTTGGCCAGGCTGGTCTTGAACTCCTGACATCACATGATCCACCCGCTTTGGCTTCTCAAAGTGCTGGGATTACAGGCGGCGTGAGCCACCATGCCTGGGTACAGTCTTGACTCATTTCATTTCTGAAGTGAATTGTTTCCCTGCTGTATACACTCAAAGGGATTCTTTTGTTATTTTCCTTTTTACTGAAATTGAAGTAACTGAAAATAAAAGAACAGAATGATTACGTTTTGCCTAAACGTACTTTTTTGTTTTGTTCTAATTCGTGCTAATATTTTGGCTCTGTGTTGCTTTTACATGATATTTGTTTATTCCATGCATATTTTATCTTTGCTTTTGCTCTACTATATCCTAATGTTGCCAAATACTGAAGGTCTTTGAAAAACAGAAAAACAAATAAAATGCACAAAATTGTAATCAATAATATTTAACTCAATTATAAATTCCCTTAGTAGCAAAATAAAGGGATGTAACAACATTTTTCTCAGCTAAAAATTTGCATAGGATTCAAAATTCTTAAATAATAAAATAAAAGATCTCATTTCAAAACAAAAGAGAGAAAGATTGGGTTAGAGAGAAGTCCCTAAACTAGTAAAGGACTTATCAGAAGAGAAAATTAAAAGTCACAAATTACCTCTGTCTCTTGATGAGAGATAAAGGATTTGGCTGAGTAAGGAGAATTTATGAACACAACAGAAGGAAGATTAATTTCATTCAGAAAACCACAGAAAGTAATTTGAACAAATGAATATGGAGAAGAAATTTCTTATGAATAACTTGAAATCACCTCATGGAATAGTTTGTCAAAAACTTATTTTTCATTTCAAGGACACATAGTCCAGAAGGCCTTTCCTGGCTTTTCATAGTCTGGGGCTTTTATCCATGGTGTCTGTGGTGGTCTCTTTGTGTTGGGGTTGGGGGAGAATAAGAGGAGGGTGGATATGGGTTTGTGTAGAAGAGTGGAGTGAAGGGAATGTCTAGGGTAGAAAATCAGAATGTGTAAAAATGTAATTACAATGAAACCTCATTTATAATCATGCAAACTATTTCAGATATTTTGTATCAGTTAATTACTTAATTCACATAACAAGCCTATCCTAATGTGACACTATAGGAAAATGAGATTCCCACTGATAACTTGTCCAACATCACACAGTGACATACTTTCAAAACACTGTCATTAATCCAAATTGTTCTGACACTAATTTCTGTGTTTTTTCTTCCTACTAGTTCTCACTCACGGTGAGTGTACTTCTATGCTCCAACCGAAGGAAAATAGAAGTAGCATTTTATAATAGGCAGATATCTGCCAGTAACATCCAAATCATGCATTCATCTATCCATTCATTCACCTATTCATTTATTTATTCAATACATAATTTTGTTACCATTCATTACATACCAGACTCTGGGAAAATCATGTTTAGGCCAAGAAGAAAACGTCCATCATGGTTTTAACACTGTTTAGAAGACACAAGTTTGTTTATTATTCCGCATGATTATTCCCTCATATAGAAAACACAACTTAAATGCTTATTGTGTAATACAATATATTTAGGGATTTTAAAGTGCTCAAAATGATTCATCTTCACTTTCATATTCTTTTTCTTTGCCTTAGTAGCATATGCTAAAGGCATAAAATTCATCAAATGGAGAATTGTGGAGAGATTTTATTGCTCTGTATTCATGAAATTGCATAGTTATCACTTTATAAGCTTGATGAAACTATCTGAGTATTTATAGCGTCCCTGGTTATTTATTTTATTTCAGAATCTTCATAATTAAATCACACAACTAAGCATATCAGGCCTGGGCCTAAGTGTATATGAAACCATCTCACATTTTTCCTGGGTCCGCAGGATGATTACATTTTACCTTTTTGTATTTGGGAGAAGGTGAAAGAGAGGTGGGAATATGACTAGTCATGCTCAATGGATTATAGGTGGAAGTTACAAAGATGAGTTCCAGACCTATACCATAAACTAATGCAGTGTACGAACCTCCACTCTCTTATCCTTTCCCAGCAATTTTGGAGGTCACATGTAGAAGAAAGCTTTAATAGAGTTGGATTCAGTTTTTGATATTTGACTTCTGGTAGTATTCAAGCTTCACTCTCCCCTTTCCCCCGTCTGCTCATATTGGGGCAAGCTGATAAAATCTGGCTGATCCCTTTTTTGATTTCAACGGGAAGTTTAAACCATGCATGGCTCTACCCACATGACGGAACCCTCTGTGTAGCCTAATTCTCTAACCACTTGAACACCCTGTGCCAATCACAACTCTCTGCTCTCTCAACACATTTATAACCTACTGGGAGCCTGTCCTGCTCTCCCCAAAAAGCCTCGTTATGTGAGAAAAAAAAAGTATGTGTGTGTATAGCATCAAGAGTCTTGATATCAAAACCAAATTTTGAGTGAGAATCAATCTCATCTCTAAAGGATAATCATAACAAGAGCAAAGTCCCAACATGAAAGAATCCTGTTTCCCTGGGTGACTTAAAAGAGTGGACACCTCCATTATTGACCTTATTGAACTCTGATGTGAATGAGCGATAATTTCTTTTTGGGTTAATCTACTGAGATTTTAGCCAATCTAACATGAACAATACAAAATTTAGTACCTTGAAGTAAAGTGCTTTTATAACAAAAATTACAATTTTCAATACAATAATGAAAATAGGAATGAGACAACAAAGAACCTAACATCAGAGTCTAGAGAGATGGCGTGTTATGAATGAGCAAGACATTTGGTAACATTGTTGCCTGCAATAATTAGGAGACAGACTAGACTCCACTGGGTTTTAATTTGAGGGAAAGATGTTTAAAAAGCAAAAATTCAAAAGTTTAGGTGGTCAGTAGGTATATTTGATTTATATAGATATCTGGAAAGAATATGTCTATTTCAAATATAAATGAAGTGGAATACTGATTCGAGAAATTCAGTTTTACATTGTTTTCATATGGATATGCTTACAGTTCTTCATTTTCTTACAATTCTTTCACTTTTTCGTATTTATAGTCTTACAGTTCTGGAAAGAAACAAGAGCTTCTGGACTTCAGTTGTATTTGAAATCAGAAAAGACTTTGAACAACAAAGATGTAATAACATTTCTCAGTTGAAGATAGTGACTCCACCTTATAACAAAAGTCTGACTAAGGGTATAGCCTCTCCACTCAAACTGATAGCCTCATGAAGATAGCTTCCATTATATTGAGAGAACAAAGTAAAGGGTGAATGGGCACAGAAATAAAGCAGATTTTAAAACAATGACTAGGAAAGGATTGTGAGAGAGGTCACTGGCATATGGAAAAATGCAGATCTGATGCCTACTAGGTTTTTGAGGGAACCGTATTACAAAATCAACCAAAAATCTTTATCTGAAAAAATGTAACTTTTCAAAGAGTCTTGAACAATCATTGCATAACAAGGTAGCTACAACAGCTGCACAGCAAACTAGGAAGGTATAATCTTCAAAACTTATTTTTATGTCATTAAAAAGAATCATGGACAGGGAAGAATCTCTTATAGGGTAAAGTCAGGAGCCATGGAGAACAATGGAGATGCGAGTTCTATACAGAGATCAGTATCTGTACTTTCTCACTGTCTGTTTCTTGGGATTTCACAATTGAACATATTGAAAACTATTCTATGTTCCCATTTGTTTCTTTCTAATTTTGGATGGTTATTGTTGTGAATATGCCTCCGATCCAACATTTTTTAATTAGATGTGGTATGAAAAGAAGATGACCTATCTTTTTAGCTTGTAGGTTGCCAGAGCATTGGGAATCTCATCTGTGTTGAATGTATAGGAACCAGGAATCCTACACTTTGAGCTGGATGGAGTAACTGGTGGAAAGTTGAGATCTCTTTCTGAGGAAGGGGAGAATGTTGTCTACATGTAGTGAAGGAAGGAATAATATATGTGATAAGCAAAGGGAAGACTCTTGTAGAAACTGATCAGATACTCACCAAACCCATTTCCTCTTCCAAGGCAAGGGGAACTATATCCTAGCTGCTAAACTATATTCCCCAGCCTCCTGGACTCTATATGGGGCCATGTGACTAGTTCTCGTCAATGAAAGCGGTTGTCAGTAGTATGTTATTTCTGAACTGAGACATTTAAATGTCAGTGTGACATGTTTAAGCTCCAAACCCATTCCTTTTGATGACTAAATACTGTAATAGCAATCTTAAAACCATTTGCTGAAGATAGAGTTACACAACATGAAAGGAGCTTAGAGACCACCATCATCTTCAGCGAAAAGTCACATAACCAGGATTTGTATGAGAATTAAACATTATTATGTTAAGTCCCTCAGCTTTGCTTGTGATGAAAAATAATGTTAACTCCCCAGACTGTGCAACTACAAATAGAGTGTTATACTCACAACACACTGTGTTCTTCCTTAGCTGGTTCTCTATTTGCAAGTTTAACTTGAGGACTTATTTGAAGATTCTAGTAGAGTAGAGGCACTTACCTAGTCGTGTATTCAGGATCCAAAATATGGTTCTTCTCTTGCCCGGAAGGAGGTCCTGCTTCAATAAGTTAGCTGATTCAGTAAAAGAAACATCTGAAGAAAAAGAGGTACTTTCTTGGTCCACACTATCTGTTTATGTATCCTCAGAAATTAGTTTTAAATGTTGAAGAGAAATAGACTCGAAATGTCACTTGAATGGACATTGCCTCAGGAAGCATAAATCCAGGGTTGGTTCATCTGATGGCACAATTTTGCCAGCTTCCATTAACTTTTCAATCCACTGTAATCTTGCTATTTTCTACAGCATTTCAACAACTCCATTCTCACTGCTGTACTCACTGATTTCTAATTGGCAGATCATAATGGCACTTTTTAGTTTTAACTTATTTTTTCTGCTGTGTTTGATTGTCATTGCTGAAAATCTCTTCTCCTTCAAACTCTCCCATTTTCTCATTTTTAAATTTGTTACAGATTTTTGCTCAAATCTCAGATCTCTACTTCTCAAGGTCAATCAAAACATCATTTTTCTTTTTTAACCACTCAAGTAAGTTTACTCAGAGCCCTTTCTCAGCCTCTCTCTTTAATCAAAAGCCCGTATGTTAAGTTTCCACTTATAAACCAATAATAACCCCCAAGCATTTCCCTCCAGTCAGCCCTACTATATTTAGCCCCATACCTTAACACTGACTGCTTCATGTAATTCTACACTTTTCACTTCTATACATTTCAGAGATAACTCAAACTCTAGTGTTTTCTAAAATTCATCTATTACCTTGTTCCTCCAAATCTGTCTCGATCTTCATAATAAAAGGCAGAAACCTGAACTAGAACATATTGGTTACTAATATATACATTTTACCATTGTAATATATCTCAAATCTGTCCCCACCTCTCTAGAGTCATTCCCCTACTCCACTCAACACTAACACCAAGCCCTTTTATTTATGGCTGGAACTATTGCAAAAGTATCTTTATTTATATTATTTCTGCCATTTTCAGTCAACACAAACTCATACTCTACACATCCAAAAGAGGGACTGGTCTAACATGCAGATCTGATCATATAAGTAAAATGCTTAAAATAGTTTCAATGACAAGTTCAAACTCCTCAATGTGGCAAATACTCTTTCTTCTAGCATAGTCTGAATCTTGTGATCAATGGGTCTCAGGATTTCTCCAACGTGTCACTTTCATGAGTGAAATGTTCTGTTTTTCATGCCCAGATTTTAATGAAACTCCTCCACCTACCAAAAAAAATCCACCAAATTTGCAAATACATTAAAGAAAATGATAATACAGTGTGTGTGTGTGTGTGTGTGTGTGTGTGTGTGTGTGTATGTGTGTTTAAGAATACCTGAAGTTCTGCTTATAAAAAAATTGTCATAGGTAAAGTTGGAAAGAAAAGTAAGTTAAAGTAAGTTAAATCTCAGCTTTGGAATGCTATGTTTTTTCTTCTTTCTCTCAGCTGTTAAAGTACTCTGTGTTGGCAGTGACATAAGGAAGAATGAGTCAAGGTCCTATATAATCCCTTTCTGCTAGCTCTAATATCTCCACATTTGCCCCATTCAAGAAAACATCAAAAGACAAATGAGTCCAAGTAAGCATAAAAAATTAACCTGAATATATTATAAAAATAGCAAAAGAAAGTAATTTACAAATGTTAGTATTTGCACTGTTTTTGTTTCTTTTTGCAAATTGCTAGCGACACTTCAGAAAACAAGTGTGTTGATGAAGAAATGCTGGTCACAAGCAACCAAAGTTTCTCTCCTCCCCAGGCCATGATCTTAGACATTACTTACACTTAGGACATTACATTTGAAGTCTTTGTTGACAGTATGTCTCCTCTTAAATATTATAAGTCCTTTCAGAAGAAAAGTAATTTGTGTCATCTTTACCTCCAATTCCTATGATGTTTAGCAGATTATAAAAACATCTAATAAATGTTTACTCAACGAGTGAGTGAACACATATTTTCTAATATTTTTAACTAGTAAAACAATTTTGCTAGTCTTTTCATTGTCCTTTTTTTCCTCCGTAAGAATCACAGACATATTGGGAGTTGCAGAGTCTAAGCAGTTTAAGTTTTGTCACAAACAACTTTGAAATTTCAGAGCATTGCAAGGCATCAGAAAGCAGCAATTTGAAAATAGCTAGTCTACAAGCTCTGAGATTATTTTCTCAACTTGATCTATTCTGCTGTTAATATTTGTGACTGCATTACGAAATTCTTGTAGTGTGTTTTTCAGCTTTACCAGGTCAGTTATGTTCTTTTCTATCCTGGCTATTTTGTCTGTCAGCTCCTGTATCATTTTATTCTGATTCTTTGCTTACTTGGATTAGGTTTCAATGTACTCCTGCATCTCAATGATCTTCATTACTATTAATACTCTGAACTATATTTCTGCCATTTCAGCCTTCTCAGTCTCGTTAAGAACCCTTGCTGGAAAGATAGTGTGGTCATTTGGAGGAATTAGGCACTCTGGCTTTTTTATTTGTCAGAGTTCTTGCACTGCTTTTTTCTCATCTTTGTGGGCTGATATTCCTTTATTCTTTGAAGTTGTTGTCCTTTTGAAGTTGCTTTTTTCCTTTATCCCATCTGATGTCCTTGAGGGTTTGATTGTGGTACTAGGTGGGTTCATTAGACTGGTTTTATTTATGGAAGATGTAGGGGGCCAAGGCTCAGCTCCCAACTCCTGGACTGCTTGCTCTAAGTCTGGGGGACTTGTATCAGGCCCCGACTTTGTTCTCTCACTCTTCAAGTTTAGGAACTCACCGCAATTGGAGGAACCAAGGTGCTCCCAGACCACTTGTCTCTACACTTTGATAGGTGGTGCAAGCCAAAGCTTTTCGTAGGGCAGTGGCGGCAGAATCCATCATAGTTTGCTGATGCCAGCGACAGTGGCAGCGGTAGCATGGTAGGACACACATTCCTCAGCTGCAGCAGGGTGCTAGTGTGTGCTGGGGTGCTTGCTTCTATGTGGGCATTCACAGAAGCAGTTGAGGCAGCATGGCTCAGGGATGTGGAGGGCTCCTGCTAGCAACTGTGCATGTGTTTGTGCCAGTAGGGGTGTTGGCACAGGGGCAGGGCACAGGCAGGCACAGGTCTGAATGCACTGTCTGTACAGATTCATATAGGTGGGGTTGCTCAGGGAATAAGAGGATCCGCTATTTTCTTTGCCTTGTTTCACTCTTGCAGCAGTGTTGGTGCAGGGGCAGGGTGCTGGCCAGGGTGGGGATGGTGGCCTTGTTGCCCGCCAAGGCTCCGACTGCAATGGTGGTAAAAGTGGGGAGGGAGGGCAGTGTGCACTCCCGTTGGCAGCAGTGGCAGGGCAGGGTGCACACACACAGGCATGCTAGTGGGGCTGGGGAGTCAAAATTCACCTGCACACATGAACTGCCAAAGTAATGTGGGCGGGGGGGGTGGCTGTGGGTCCAGAGAAGCTGTGGTTAGGGAGGGTGTAGATAGGTTGGTGCATGGTCATGAGGGATGCGCCACTGGAGCTCTCTGGTAATCAGGCATGGTCCATCAGTGCGGGAGGTATGACACAGGCCCCCAGGACACCCAAGGTTGCACTACAAGCAGGTGCAGCCAAGGTGGCTCCCCAGGAATGACCAGCAGACCAAGGGATGATCAGGTGGAACTGGCCCCTTCTAGTGGGCAAGGCCTTCCTGCAGAGTTCAGGTCCAATATTTCCCCTAGGGCTAAAGTCTTCTATGGGATCAAGTTGAGCCTATGGGGATGGGCATTCCTCGCCGTGCTCTGCTACAGATGCTCCCACACCAAACCCTCTGGGCTCCACATTGGCTGGTGTGCTTTTCCTACTATTTTTCTAAGAAGCTCTCCCTGCCAACTCAAGTTTCCATGGTGGTCAAAGCGTCTCTTCCTGCTGGAATTCCAGAGGCCTGTGGCAAGAGCAAGTTGCTCCTTTCCAGTTCAACTCACCTGTTCCCCCAGAGTTGTCAGGGGCCAGGAAAAACTCTCTGTGTGTGGTAGCCTCGTGCAAGGTTCCCAGTTTTCCTTTCTCTTCAGCCCAGCTTCTGTGTCTTTCCTCCATCCACTCTCAGTGGCTTCTCTCTGAAGATCTGTTGGGAGTGTGCCAGTTGTCCCAGTTCCTCGGTGGCAGCTGTTCCACCCGGCTGCATCTAGTTGGCCATCTTAGTCATTTGATTTTTCAGCACAAGCTGGAAATCTTCGACTTATCCTTAAAGTTGAAACAGAAAAAAAAGTATGTACATATGTTTATGTATACATAAATGAACATATTTTACAACATATGTAATCACTAAAAGCAGAAGCCACTACTGGCAAACTGTATATCCAGCTAATCGGTTTATTACAAATTATTAGGGTCTACCAAGCTAGGAGATGAGGAGGAGATACAAAGAAGCCTTTATAACTTGCCATTTCTATATGATTTGGACAAAATATTTCTGGGAATTTCCCAAGTAAGAAAATAAAAGGATTTAAAAAAAGAAGAAAGTAAAGGAAAACAAAACGAATAATCCAGCATGAAACACATTTTGGCCTTGATGATATTCTTGCCCACTCATTTCAGTCTAATGACTGTTGCTTTTATGTTTTCTCAGAGTCCTCTCCCTGATTAAGGCTTATAGTCTGGAATTGTTGATAATTATGTAATGTCTCTGACTAACAGTCTCTAAGAGGTATCTTTTGGCAGGGATGACAAGGAACAGCAGGGAGACTTATCCAGGATGGAGTAGAGGGAATACAAAAGCTGGATTTGGCCACAAAATAGGAAAAGGGGGAGAACAATAAGAAAAAGGACACTCAGAGTGTTAAAGCTCCTTAGATTTTAGAGGTAACTGAATCCTATCCTTTTGTTTTTCCGTCAGGGAAAATTGAGACCCAAAGTCATTAAAGGGATTGCTGAAGGACACAACAATTTCCATACTTGATATCTGTTCATTAGTTTTAAAAGTCTATGGGTATAGAACCAATCCCATAGTAGCTTCCTTATAGCTAAAAATGTTAACACGGAGGAAAATTTTCACTCTTATAACAATTACAGTAGTCCCTCCTTATCTACGGGGAATATATTCCAAGATTCCCAGTGGTTGCCTGAAACAACAGATAGTACCAAACCCTGCATAAACTGTTTTTTTCCTTAACATACATACCTACAATAAAGTTTTATTTATAAATTAAGCACAGCAAAAGATTAGCAACAATAACTGATAATAAAATAGAAAAATTATAATAATATACAATGCAGTTGTGGTAATTTTTGTTGTCTTTTATCGTTCTCTAAACAACACCAAAATTGATCTGTTTCAAGATGTAAGACCCCTACTGGTGAAAAACTCTACTGGTGTGAATTAGTATTAGGTTCTGAACTCTGGAATCTGTACTACAATGATCATTTTCTGTACCGAGGAACACTAACCTGGACAGGAATAAAATGGAAACTTCCTAGGAAAATCCCATTGTGTATGGTTTCCTTATCTACATCTGGTTAGTTGGATGAGAGCAATCAAATCTGTTTCTATCTTTTCCCTTATACTGAGATACAGTCTTTACAGTATCTGCTATTTGAACACTTTGATCATTCCTAATGATCTTAATCAAGGAATTTTTCTTGGGCTCACTACCTATAGAATTTTAATAACACTCCCAGATATTGTGCAGTTTCTCGTTCTAATGATGTTTTAAGAAATCTTGATTTGATTCTGACCCTCACATCCTTTGCCCTTGATATTGGCCCTTCTTGTGTTTTACTTCTCTTGGTGACAAAACTCTTTTGTCAAGATGCTTTAGAATAAACAAAAAAAACTTCTCAAACCATGCTCATCCCATAATTTTTCACTTCAAAATTTGGCCCCACTGAATTTGGCTCCATTTGTATATCTAATTGGAAAATACCAAGCTCCCGTAATTGAACCATATTTCTAGACATCAAGGTCTTGACAGAATTGCTAAATCATTTTGTTTAATTGAAATAAGTAGTTCTTGGATTTATAATCAGGAGTCATTCAAAGTGCTCCAAGACAACGCATTTACTAACTATAGAATAAACAGAGAGGCATGCCTGCATTATTATGCTGCATAAAAATGCTGCTTCAAATCAAATGAGGCTAACATATTCACTTTTCTTATTCTATTCTTTATCTCATTGAGTGATAGTTTTTAATGTAATCAAAAATGGAAATTACTAGAGCACAAAGCATCTTAGATATTTTCTTCTGACAAATGGATTACCTAAGCATAAGTAACACTATTGTGTATATAGAATAACACATACATGAAATAATTGTAATGATTATGTAGTAAAAGAGGAGAGCAAATTATTATTTATTTTATATATAGTTTCTTTGAGGATTAAAAGAGACAATGTTTTTTGAAAATGTTTTTTGTCTTCATAAACTCATATCTGATTTTAATGAATATTGAATTATTGGTTTTTCGGAAGATTTAAGCTTTCAGATTACCTTCAAACAAGAAGTTAAACTTTTAATTTTACATTGTAACTTTCAGTATTGCAATCTCCCAGTGTCCCATGAGAGAATTGCAATGTCCATGACTCAATTTTTTTCAAATATTCATGAAACTATGATGACACCACAAATAATGACATTTTTATTCTCAAGACTGAATCTTGATGCCTCTTAACGATAGCTACATTTTTCTAAACTAAAATGTCATTACTGGAGTTTACTTTTTAAAAATTATTAAACAAAATATGACTGACTATGAAAAGTATTGGGGTCAGGATGGACAGATCCAAAAGGAAAGCACTCCAGTATCCTTATAGTAGTGAAAAGCTCATAACAGACAGTTGCTTATTTTTTATTATGAGCCAGACCATTTTCCTAGGTCCTCAAGATCATTTTCAAAACTCTGTCTTTGACAATTATGTATTATTTTTATTATTTATTAATTTTTTAAATGTTGTGTACCTATAACAGGTTAGGTTTCATGCTACATAATATCGATATTTTTTTAAAAGTCCTAATCTATGTCTATGAGGAGTTAGTCTAATGGAAGAGGCAGTTATGTAAACAAACAAATCAAGATACAACGTGGTAAGTGGCATGGAATGCTTCTGTGGCAAATACTATGGCTACCTATCCCACAGTATTTTGATCTCTTCTTCCTTGTGAATAAACTTTTAGTTAATTAACTATAGCATGAAGATGCCTTGGTATCAAGTAAGAGTTAAATCTTTTAGGTTGGTGCAAAATCATTGCAGATTTGCCATTACTTTCAATGGCAAAAACAGTGATTACTTTTACACCAACCTAATATGATCCAGGAATAGCATGTGACCAAGTCATGTCCCGTAAAATATTGGAGAAAATCTACTGGGGGTATTCCGGGGAAAAGTATCCTAATAAAATTTAAGAATGGTCTGAGCAGTGACTTTCCTCTCCTCTTTCTCCTTTTCGTCCTCCTCCTTCTTTCTCTCTCTCTCTCTTGCTCTCTCTCGCTCTCTCCTTCCAACCTCTCTTTGTGTTGTAGATAGATCCCTGTTTCTGATTTTGAATACGATCATAGGACTTGAGGTTTTGACAGTGATTGTCGAAAATTAGATAGTAAACCATGACATAAGAACACCATGAGAATGTCAGAGCAGAGAGATAGAAGATGAAAAGTTGACATGATTTAGCATTTGAATCAAGCACCCACTTCTGTATGTTTTGTTATGTGATAATGAAAAGGACTCTATTTGTTTAAGCCAATATTGCACTTCCTGTTATTTCAGACAAAAGTATCTTCACTGCTGCAACTTCTCATGGGAATAAATATTTGAATTTGATTTTGAACTATGAATAGGTAATTTTCAGGCAGAGAAAAGAAGTCAGGGAGATTTACGCAGAAATATCAGGCCGATATTTCAAAAATACTAATGTATATAGAAAATTAGAATTTATGTGTGCAATGGTTGGAAAGAAGATCAAAGAGAGTAGTTGACGCAAGATTGTGTATGTTAAGCTCTGGTGATCATGCAGTCTTGTGGCAACTAGGAACACAGTTGGGATGGAGAGTTACATGATGAAATTTATTTTTTTGATGTTGCTGACTGTCTTTGAGGATGGACATAAGCTGGAAGAGATTGATGTCAGAGATAACCAGTTTCTTAAAAGTTCCTAAGAGGTTCACAGATAACTGATTCTTCACATAACTTGCAGTGTATGTTGTGGTACGCCTCCTATTCCCATCCTTCAGGACTGAGGTATTCATACCCTTGGCTGTGAGGAGTGGCTATAGCTGCAAATACACATCTGGCTCTCTCCACAGAAATTTCCCTCAGCCAGAGAGAAACCTCTCAGCCAAGTTTATGCCCCCTCCTTAGGGAAACCTACATCCAGTGTCTGGTCAATGCAGAGATATGAAGGGAAGTATCCCTCCCACTATTTGAGATATTCTGGAAGGCCATGCCAGCTTTCAAACTCTGTGTGAGATCAGTTGAAGCCTCTGTTGCAAGGGCATCCCCGTTCAGCTTTGCTTTTTTCTGCTTCAGTTCCTGCTTCTTTCACTTTTTACAGGTGTTATTCTTGAGAATATTCCCTGCATGAAAATATCCACCTCAAAGTCTGTTTCCAGTGAACCAAACCTAGACAGTTGGTGCCAGGAGTGGTACAAAAAATATTTGAAAATGGGATTGAGTGCTGGATTACCCGCTGGCTAGCTGGCAATGAGGACAACTTCACTAATGGTACATAGAAAAATATCTCCTAGCATGTTTTAACAGTGTGACTTAAAATTTCACCAATGGTAAAATGGGATTAGACGGTGGAAGAGAATGTACTGGCAGATGTAATATCTTAGATTTAGAGAGGTTCTACAAAAGTAATAATTATATAAGCACTATGTAATTAGATGGCTATTGACCAATGCATTGGTGAAAATCATTGAAAGACTGAGAGTAAGTATTCAGGGAAAAAGTGAGAGTTTCTTTCTATTTTTCATTTATTTTTATTTATTTATTTTTTTTTTAGATGAAGTTTCACTATTGTTGCCCAGGCTGGAGTGCAATGGTGCTATCTCGGCTCACTGCAACCTCCACTTCCCGGGTTCAAGCGGTTTTCCTGCCTCAGCCTCTGAGTAGCTGGGATTACAGGCGCCCACCACCATGCCCGGCTAATTTTTGTATTTTTAGTAAAGACGAGGTTTCACCATGTTGGACAGGCTGGTCTCAAACTCCCGACCTCAAGTGATCTGCCCGCCTCGGCCTCCCAAAGTACTGGGGTTGCAGGCATGAGCCACTGCGCCCGGCCGAGAGTTTCTTTAGCAACAAAAAATATACTCTCATTCTTACAAAAAGCTAAGAATCAGAAGAGAACTTAATTAAGAGTAGCAGAACTCAAGAAAAGGCTAAATTCTCAATCAGCAAATCTGCTATACTTTTATAGAACCCAGATTGGAAGGAGTAGGAGCCTATGGCTTGAGATAGGAACAATCTAGGTTGATTTACTTGCAAATCTTGAGCTTTCAGATTCCCCTGAACATTCTTGACTTTCAGAAGTTACTCCCTGCAAATTCTCATTGCCCTCTCTTTCTACCTTGCTTTCAACATAAGCCTATTTCAGGATCTATTTCAATTCCTTTTCTAGTCTCCAGCGAACAACTAGGTTTCAGTCACAACATAACCTAGCAGGGAGAGTGCTGAATGTGCTCAGAGAAGAAAGGAACTATAATATTAGAAAGGTACAGGACCTAGAAAATATTTTCCAGAGGAAACTTGGAGAGTAACATGAGTATACAGTGATACACT